>NC_000012.12:113217703-113369218 GCF_000001405.40 Homo sapiens | reverse complement strand
GGCCCTTACCTCCTCCGACACAGCAGCCTCCACCACACCGGCTGCATAGGCCTGCAAGCTGTCATTGTATTGGCCACTTGTGCCCAGCTCCAGGAAGGCCCACCTGGAGGGGAAGGAGGGGACACTCAGTCAGCAGCAGAGGCCCCCAGCTAGACACATGGCATCTCCAGGCTTAAACTATGAAAACAACACAGTGGTCAGTAGACGTGCACGTGAATGTCTGTCTGTCCATCTTTGTGAGCTTGCCGGATTAAATCCCTCCAAGAGGAACTACTGGCTCAAAGGGTACACGTATTTTTAATTTTCATAGATATTGACAAACAGCCTCCCCCAAAAATGCAGAACATATCTATATTCCCTTACCCACAATAACACCAGCTAACAACATCCATTGAGGATGACATGTTAGCTCTGTGCCACGCCATGTTCTAGTCACTTTCATGTCTATTAACTCATTGAGTCCCCTATAATCCTACAAGGTGGGCACGTCCCCATCTTGTCCCTCTTGCAGAAGAGGAGGAAATTAAAACACAGACTTATGTCACATGCCATCCCCACCCCCATGTCCATGCCCTTTGCCACGAGACTACAGTCCTCCACCAATGGCCAAGTATCCTTCCCTGCTCCTTCATTTGGGCTTGGTTGTGTCACGTGACCTGCTTTGGCCAATGGGATATGGGTGGAAGTGACAGCATGCTAGTTATAAGATTAGCCTTCAGGAAGCCTCACTTGCCCCTTTGTGCCTCTGCCATCACCATGGGAAGAACAAGCCCCGGCCAGCCCACTGGTCCCAGGGATATGAGAGCCACACAAGCACACCAGGTCTGTAGAGCTGCAGCATGAAGTAGAGCTGCCCCAGCAGCCCCACGGATCCATGAGAATCAATGTTGTTGGTTTAAGCTGCTGGATTGGGGCTGGTTTATCACACAGCACTGCTGCCCAATACTAGCGGATACATGTGAAAGGTCACAGAGTTGGCAGGGGCAGGATTCACTTCCAGGCAGGCTGGCTCCCACTCCTCTGAAGGAGCACTTCTCAACCTCTGATGTATATATGCAGGTTACCTGAAGGCCTGGTTAGAAGGCAGGTTCTGATCAGTTCTGCAATGGGGTCTGAGATTCTTGTTTTTTTTTTTTCCTGAGACAGAGTCTGGCTGTTTCCCAGGCTGGGGGGTACTGGCATGATCTCAGCTCACTGCAACCTCTGCCTCCCAGGTTCAAGTGATTCTCCTGCCTCAGCCTCCGGGGTAGCTGGGATTACAGGTGTGAGCCACCACACCCAGCTAATTTGTGTATTTTTAGTAGAGACAGGGTTTTACCATGTTGGCCAGTCTGGTCTAGAACTCCTGGCCTCAAGAGATCCGCCCACCTCAGCCTCCCAAAGTGCTGGGATTACAGGCACTTTGTTAAGATACTTTACAGTAGCTTAAGGCCACTGCACCAGGGCTTTTTTCTTTTTTTTTTTTTTTTTGAGACAGCATCTTGCTGTCACCCAGGCTGAAGTGCAGCGGCATGATCTTGGCACACTGCAGCCTCCGGCCTCCCAGGCTCAAACTATCCTTCCACCTACGCCTCCTGAGTAGCTAGAACTACAGGCATGTGCCACCACACCCAGCTAATTTTGGTATTTTTTGTAGAGACGGGGTTTCACCATGTTGGCCAGGCTGGTCTTGAACTCCTGACGTCAAGTGATCCACCTGCCTCGGCCTCCCAAAGTGATGGGATTACAGGCATGAGCCACTATGCCCGGGCTCTGCACTTCTAAGTAGCCTCCAGGTAATGCCAACACTGCCAGTCCTGGAACCATAGCAGGTCACAGACTGAGTCTCTACAATGAGCAAACTTCTGTTTGCCCACTCCCTCACTAAAATGATTACTAGCAAACTTTTTCATCTTTACCAAGGTGATAGCTGCAGAAGTTCCAACATGCTTCCAATTTTTAAATTAGTTGAGTTACATATATTTTCTTATTTTTATTGGTCATTTATATTTCTCTGTTTCATGTCCTTTATCCATTTTTCTCTATTGGGTTTTTAAAAATCTTTTCTTATTGGTTGGTGAAATTCCCTGTATACACATTAGCCCTCTGCTTGTCACTAACATTGAGAATACGGGGCCAAGCACAGTGGCTCATGCCTGTAATCCCAGCACTTTGGCTGGCCAAGAATTCGAGAAATTTGAGACCAGCCTGGCCAACATGGTGAAACCCCCATGTCTACTAAAAATAGAATAATCAGCTGGGTGTAGTGGTACACTCTTGTAGTCCCAGCTACTCAGGAGCCTGAGGCAGGAGAATCGCTTGAACTGGGAGGCGGAGGTTGCAGTGAGCAAAATGGCACCACTGCACTCCAGCCTGGGTGACAGAGCATGACTCTGTCTAGAAAAAGAAAAAAGAAGGGGAGGGAAGGGGGAGGGAGGGAGAGGAGGAGGAGGGAAGGAGGGGAGTGGGGAGAGGCCAGGTGGCTGATGCCTATAATCCTAGCACCTTAGGAGGCTAAGGCAGGAGCATCACTTGAGGCCAGGAGTTCAAGACCAGCCTGGGAAAGCAAGACTCTGTCTACACGAAATAATTTAAAAGTTACAGGTGCAGTGGGGTGTGCCTGTAGTCCCAGCTACTCAAGAGGTTGAGGCAGGAAGATCACTTGAGCCCAAGAGTTTGAGGCTGCAGTAAGTTATGATCATTCCACTGCACTCCAGCCTGGATGACAGAGCATGACCCTCTCTCTAAAATAATAATAAGAGAAAATATGTTTGTGTTTTAATTGGTTTTTGCATTTGTTCTTGCCATATAGACGTTTTCATTTTTGTGTAACCAGATCAATCTTTTCCTTCACGGTGCTAGATATCATTTTTGCTCCAAGGACACAAAAATATTCACTCATGTCATTTCTATAACTAGCGGGGGGAAGCATTTTTAAAGGCAATTTCTATTAAGAAAATGAGGGCAACAGGAAGACGCTAAAGAGACCTTGAAGAGGGTACAAGACAGGGAGAGGCAGGCTTGGCCAGGGCTGTCTCGTGGGAAGTTGGCTAAAAAGCCATCGAACACTTCCAGGACAGGAATAGCTCAGCCCTGGAGAAGACTCTGGAGAGGGAAAGACTCAAAAATGCCCACATCTGATACCTTCAGTAAGCAAGCCTTTTTGAGTGCCTACTGGCTGCCAGACATTGAGGGTATCTAAGGATGAATGATGTTCATCTGGCCTTCAAAATGCTAGTGGCAGCAGAGGGGAAAGGCATGAAAACAGATAAGGACATAACGGGGTAACCATTATGATGGAAAAACGAATAAAGTGTCAAGGGGTTGTCCTGAGGAGGTATACTGCTGCTGCTACAATTATCTGACTACAATCTGTGAAGGCATCACAGAAGAGGTGACAGCTGTTCTGGGTTTTGAAGTTTACATAGGAGTTTGCCAGGTGAAGAGAAGAGAGAAAGTAAAAGGAAGAAGCCTGAGTTCTGAATGTTCCAAAGCAAAGTACTTTGGGGCCAGCAGGGTGGGGCTGTGGGGATCTTTAGTGGGGCCTTGATACAGGGAATTACAGTAGCCCCAGAAACTGTGGTAAGTACTTACATTTTTATGTAACTCTAAATTCTTCCAAAAATGGCCAGGGCTCGGTGGCTCACGCCTGTAATCCCAGCACTTTGGGAAGCTGAGGAGGGCGATCACTTGAGGTCAGGAGTTTGAGACCAGCCTGGCTAACATGGTGAAACCTCGTCTCTACTAAAACTACAAAAATTAGCTGGGTGTAGTGGTGCGTGCCTGTAGTCCCAGCTACTCTGGTGACTGAGGCATGAATCGCTTGAACCCGGGAGGTTACAGTAAGCTAAGATTGTGCCACTATACTCCAGCCGGGGTGACAGAATGAGACTCTGTCAAAAAAAAAAAAAAAATTCTTCCAACAACCGTATGACATGGGTTTTATTCTTCCCATTTTACAGATGTGGGGAACCGAGGCTCCCACATAATACAGTTAGATGAAGTGATTTGCCCAAGGTCACACAGCAGGTGAGCAGCAGAGCTGAGACTAACATTCTTGAGTGAATGCTCTGCGCCTCTAACTCAACTCAGGTTTGTGGGGGAGTGTTGGGGGCAAGGAGGTATAGTTCTTATCAAATGCAGATGACAGCCATGAACTTCGGGCTAATTATTCACATAGCATCACAGATAAGGACAGAGGAAAAAACAAGGGGAAAAAATTAGATTTTTAAATTTCAAGGAGAATGGAAGACAAAGAGTTTGGGCTTGTGGGTCCCTCCGACTTGGTCTGAATCCCTGGGTAGATCCCTTACTGGTTGTGTACCTTTGGGCAAACTGCTTTACCTCTCGGGGCCTCGGTTTTCTCATCTGTAAAATGGGCAGAGTGACTCCCCCTTCAGAGGACTGCTGTGGCATGTGCCAGGAGAGAACACACATTATGCACTCACTAAGTATTTGTCTCATCAAGAATCTGAGAGGAGATGGCGCAGTGGCTCATGCCTGTAACCCCAGTGCTTTGGGAGGCTGAGGTGGGAGGATCACTTGAGACCAGGAGTAAGAGACCAGCCTGGACAATAAAGCGAGACTCCCCTCTCTACAAAAAATACAAAATAAATTAACCAGGTGTGGTGGTGCTTGCCTATAGTCACAGGAGGCTGGGGCTAAGATGGGAGGATCGCTTGAGCCCAGGCTGCAGTGAGCTATGATCACACCACTGTACTCCAGTCCAGACAATAGAGCAAGATGCTGTCTCATTAAAAAAAAAAAAAGAATCTGAGGGGGTAGGAGTTTGAGGAGACCCGGCGAGTGTGATGATGGGAGGAAGATTATAACAGGGCCCAATATGCAGATCCCCTCGTGATAAAAGCTGGCAGTGGATCAAAGGAGACCTCGGACAAACTGCGTAAAACCAAAAAAGCTGTGCAGCCGCGAGCCCCAGTAGTAACTGAGCGGCCAGTGGCCTCCTCCAGGGCACACCTGGTGAGAGCTACCCCTTCTAGCAAGGGTGGGCTCAGCCAAGGCCTCGGCACTGAGGCCCCGGAGACGGGCAGTGGTTAGGAACCCATTCCCTGGCCGGATGCTCATACAGCCCTGCAGAGATGGGCATAAAGGCCCTTCTTCACAGCAGGACTTCTCTTCAAAGCCAGAAAAGACGGGCCTTCCCGAAACACCCATCATTAGGGGCCTGATACAATAATCACACATGCCATAGCGGACTGCATGTGCTGATGAGCAAAGAGGTCAGAGATGAAGTTCAAAAAAAAGTCGAGAAGTCCAAATGGTAGGCACGAACTAAGCCCCTGTGTAAATGCATCACACACCACATATGCCTCTACATTTATATGTATGCAAGAAGGTTTAGGCCTCTTTATGCATAGAAAATTCTGGAAGAAAGAGCTAAAAGTCCGGGTGCAGTGGCTCACGCCTGTAATCCCAACACTCTGGGAGGCTGAGGCGGGTGGATCATGAGGTCAGGAGATCGAGACCATCTTGGCTAACATGGTGAAACCCCGTCTCTACTAAAAATACAAAAAATTAGCCGGGCGTGGGGGCGGGCACCTGTAGTCCCAGCTACTCGGGAGGCTGAGGCAGGAGAATGGCGTGAACCCGGGAGGCGGAGCTTGCAGCGACCCGAAATCGCGCCACTGACTCCAGCCTGGGCAACAGGGCGAGACTCCACCTCAAAAAAAAAAAAAAAAAAAGCTAAAAATGTTTATATCTAGGAAGAATGGTAGGGGGAGGCTTTTACTTCCCATATCCCATCCCCTCTTTCTAAACTGCTAGAAATTTGTTTTGTTTTGTTTTGTTTGAGATAGGGTCTCACTCTGTCACCCAGGCTGGAGTGCACTGGCGTGATCACAGCTCAGTGTAGCCTCACCTGGACTCAAGCAGTCCTCCCGTCTCAGCTTCTGAGTAGCTGGAACTACAGGCACGCACCACCGTGCCCAGCTAGTTTTTTATATTTTTTGCAGAGATAGGGTCTCACCATGTTGCCCAGGCTGGTCTCAAACTCCTGGGCTCAAGCAATCCTCCTGCCTCGGCCTCCCAAAGTGCTGGCATTACAGGCACAAGCCACAGCGCCCGGCCAGAAAAACACTTTAGAGTGTGTCTATAACTAGATGTGCTTATTAAAGACTACTCTTCGGCCAGGCACAATAGCTCACACCTGTAATCCCAGCACTTTGGGAGGCTGAGGTGGGCAGATCACCTGACGTCAGGAGTTCAAGACCAGCCTGGCCAACATGGTGAAACCCCATCTCTATTAAAATTACAAAAAAAAAAAAAAAATTAGCTGGGTATAGTGGCTCACACCTGTAATCCCAGCTACTAGGGAGGCTGAGGCAGGAAGATCACTTGAACCCAGGAGGCGGAGGTTGCAATGAGCCAAGATCATGCCACTGCACTCCAGCCTGGGTAACAGAGCAGACTCTATCTCAAAAAAAAAAAATAAATCAAAAGAAGATTACTCCTTATTCAGAGAGTATGTCCTTTCTGCTTGTTTGCTCTAAAATTGCCAATCTTTTATGAGATAAACGCTGACAGGGGTTGACAAATATTGCTCTCCTTTGTTTTTAATGCACTTGCTTGACAAAAATTAAAAGTTGGCAGCAGTAGGTCTGTTTCCTCAATCTTTTTTTTTTTTTCCTGGAAAATCTATGGGCCAAATTGCAATTTCATGCCAGGGGCAGCTAATGTCTCTAAGATGACTCAAGAGTCTAATCAAGGTGCCTCTTGAAAGAGGCCACATTGGAAAAAGTCAGACCACTGATATGAGCAGGGGGCCACAAATATCTCACAAATATCAGCACCCCACTTCCGCAGTCTAGTATGGCCTTGGATGCTCTCCATTATGTGGGATGCCCCCCATAACTGTGTCTATCACTCCTATCTCAGCCTTTTTTTTTTTTTATTTGAGACAGGGTCTCACTCTGTTGCCCAGGCTGGAGTGCAGTGGCACAATCACAGCTGACTGCAGCCTCGACTTCCCAGGCTCAAACGAGTAGCTGGGACCACAGGCATGCGCAACCACACCCAGCTAATTTTTTACTTTTTTTTTGCAGAGACAGGGTTTCACCACATTGCCCAAGCTGGTCTCGAAATCCTGGCCCCTCGCCATCCTCCTGCCTCGGTCTCCCAAAACATTGGGATTACAGGCATGAGCTACAGCGCCTGTCCTCCTTTCTCATTCTTGATGGTATAGATTCATCTCCTGTGATTGTTCAAAGAAACAGCTGGGCCTTATTTATCCATTTTACTGGGCTGTTTTTGCCTGTTGGTTGGTGGATTTGGGATGCTTCCCCGTTTACTAAATTTGTTAATTCCCTCTAACTTTGATTCACTTCCTCTCTCAACGGGATGGTGATTTACTTTAAGCAACCTCGTCGATAAGGTGCTGGTCAGTGGGATCAGATCAGGGAAGGAAGACAAAGTAAGGTTGGAGGATACAGCTTCCCCAGGACCAAGGCCAGAGCTAGACTGAGGCAGGCTCTGCTCCTAGTGACATCTCTGATCTCCAAGCACCAAATCATAAATGTTTCCAGGCTGTGTGGGGGTGTTGGCCCAAAGTCAAGATATGGCACAACTGAAAGAAGGTACCGAGCACAGTGGCTCACATCTGTAATCCCAACATTTGGGGATGCTAAGGTGAGAGGATCACTTGAGCCCAGGAGTTCAAGACCAGCCTGGGCAACATGACAAGACCCCTGTTTCTACAAAAAAAAAGAATTTAAAAATTAGCCAGGCATGGGGGTGCGTATCTATAGTCCCAGCTACTTGGGAGGCCGAGGTCGGAGGATTTCTTGAGCCTGGGAGTTCAAGGCTGCAGTGAGCCATGATCATACCACTGCACTCGAGCCTGGATAACACAGGGAGACCCTGTCTCAAAAAAAAAAAAAAAACAAAAAAAAAAAAACCTTTTTTAAAAAATAAAAAAGACGAAGGATTATGGTGTAGGGAGAATTTATCCTGATAATCCCAGGATCCCCAGTGGCAAAATCTGGGGATTTCACCAGGAAGGAGGAGGATCCTAATTCTGAGTGAACAGAGGCATCAAATCCCTGCCCCCACCCTCCGAAATAAGACACAGAGTCCCCCACAGATCAGAGATTCTGCTGATCAGGAGCCAGGACACCCCCTATGGCTTTCTTTCATCTGACCCTGAGTCCTCAAGCAGCTGTCTCTGAGGACCTCAGTTTCCTGCCTATAAAATGGGGCTCGCTTTATGGTTTTCCCTGCATCAGAGCCTCAAGGGCTGGCAAACTCAAAGGGAAAGGGGCATGTGAGCGTAAGAGGAGGGGATGAGAGAGGGTGCCGAAAACAAGCCAGAAAGTCCAAGATGGGCAGATCACCTGAAGTCAGGAGTTTGAGACCAGCCTGGCCAACATGGTGAAACCCCATCTCTACTAATAATACAAAAATTAGCCGGGCATGGTGGCACACACCTGTAATTCCAGCTACTTGGGAGGCTGAGACACGAGAATCGCTTGAACCCAGGGTGGGGAGGTTGCAGTGAGCCAATATCGTGCCCCTGCACTCCAGCTGGGCAACGGAGTGAAACTGTGTCTCAAAAAATAAAATACAAATAAAAATAAATAAACAGTGCTTTCTGTGACCCCAGTGAATTTCCATGACCCTTTTGGTCCTACCTTGATATGAGGGAACATGCTCAGAGAGGTGAAGGGATTTGCCCAAGGTCACACAGCAGAGGGGCTGAGCCTGGAAGAACTTTCCATCCAGCACAATCAAGGAAGCCTTCTCTCCACTTCCATGTTTACCATAGTCAAGAGCAACACAGCCCAGGAGGGGCCTCCAGAGGCCAAAGCCCCCTCCCCATGCTGGGCCTCGCTCCTGCCCCTCCTCGCCTGAACAGTTCTGTCATGTCCTCTTGATTCTGCTATGCAGGGCCAAAAACATGAGTGAGTCAGCAAAGAACGGGTCACCAGATCCAAGAGTCCCGGCAGCCCCCGAGGCCAGCCACAAAGCTTCAGTTCCCTCCACAGATGCCAGCTCACTCTGTGGCCTCCTCTCTCTGGGAGCCTTCCCAGATTTACCCCAACCAGTGCCCCTGTGTCTGTGCAAATATCTCCCCCAAATCTCACGTCTACTTGATGTACCCCCCAAGTGCCACCAGAATGGGGGTGTCCTCGGCATCCTGTGTCTCCCTAACACCTGCAGAAGCCAATGGATGCCAGTAAAATGGATAGGGGCTAAAGTGGGAGGAGGCCCTTTCTGCTGCAGGGGGCAGTGTGGTCTGAGCACAGACCACATCCTGGGCACATCCTAGTGCTAGGGTTCCCTAGCATCATCTGGACACTAGGATATGACGGATGCACCCCGGGTTCCCTAGGATCCCCCAGCACAGCCTGATCCAGCGTCTGGGCCCTGCTGACAAGGCTTTGAAGCTGATCCTTCCCACTCCCACTGACTCTGATTTCTCTTCTATCGCTGTCTGTGTTTCCCACTGAGTAGAGACAGCTGCTCAGCTGTGTCCCTAAGGCCAACCATCAGGGTAATGAATAAATGAATGGGCACAAGCCCTTGTACAGAACTTGCAGCACATGACCACCCAACTAGAGCACATCCTCAAAATCTGGGCCACAGATGGGGAAACGGGAGCCCAGACAGGCGGAGGAGTTAGGTGAGACTCACACATCAGAATGACAGCCTGGGTTCCAGCAATAAAGATGGTGAGCATGGCTGCCAAACACGGCATCCAGCCAAGGACTTCCCCTTGGACCAGGACACAGAAGACAAGGGAGGAGCAGAGCCCTAGCAGGATACTAAATGGGTCTATGTGACTTTAGGGACCCTCTGCTTTTGGACTAGCCTGGAACCCAGGTTCAGTCCTGCTGACCTGGCACTGGAAGGGAGGCAGGGTGCTGGCACCCACGAGCAAGCCACAGCCAAGCAGGTAAGAATTAGTCTCCTGCTGAGTTCTCATCACCCCTCAGGCCTGGGGACAGGGGGCTGGCCTCCATGGGGTGAGGAGGCAAAGTCTAGGGAAGGGAGCAGGTCCCCGTGAGGATAGAATTTACCCACCAGCCATGGACCTGATCCAGATGCAGGCACTGCGGCCTCGGTGGTAGGGAACTGGCTTCTTGGGGACAGAAGTACTGTCACCACTGGCTGAAGGCAAGGGACTGGCCCCATGAGGTGAGGGATGCCGCAGTAGCCAGCTCCCAAACAGGGTACTTGGCCCGCAGGGCGGTGCTGCAGCCTCGGGAGTAGCTGACCCCCAGAGAAACGGGCGTTCCCACCCGGCAAGAGGCCGGTCCCGGGAACAGGCGAGGTCCGGCGCCCACGCATCCCCCTCCCCCGATGGCCCCGCGTGGGGATAAGCCAACCCTTACCCAGTCTCGCGGATGGCGTTGGTGAGGTTGGCCCAGGCCACGGCGTCAGGGTGGCGTCCGTCCACCATAAGCAGCTGGCCCGCCGAGACGTCCAGGAGCACCGAGCGGCTGCGGGAGGCTGGAGGGACCTGCCCATCGCGCGCCCAGCGGCCCCCCGGCGCTGGGATCGCCCCCGCCAGGCCGCTCAGGAACGGCCCGACCAGCAGGGCCAGCACCAGGGCCAGCGCCAGCGCCCGCGTCAGCGCCCGGGCCAGGTGGCTGCCGGGGTAGCAGTACATCTGGCCCACCATGACCGCACAATGCTGCGCCCCGCAGCCCGGGTCACGTGACTGCGCTCTGCCATGGGCGGGGCCGAGGGCGGGCGGGGCCGGGCTTGGGCTGAGCCTTTCCGGGATGGGAGGGGCTGGCGCGAGGGGAGGCCTACGGGGCGGGACCCACCTTAAAGAGCCCGGCCGCCCCTTCCACCTACGCAAACCCGGTTTAGCACACTTCCCCAAGTTTTTTTTTTTTTTTTTTTTTGAGACAAGACAAAACCTCCATATGTCGCCCAGACTGGAGTGCAGTGACGCGATCTCGGCTCATTGCCACCTCCGCCTCCCGGGTTCAAGCGATTCTCCTGCCTCATCCTCCTGAGTAGGTGGGATTACAGGCGCGCACCACCACGCCCAGCTGATTTATGTAATTTCAGTACAGACGGGGTTTCGCCATGTTGGCCAGGCTGGTCTTGAACTCCTGACCTCAGGTGATCCGCCTGCCTCAGCCTCCCAAAGTGCTGGGATTACAGGGGTGAGCCACCGCGCCCGGCCAGATTTATTTAATGGTATTTGCCATTTATTTAATACAGTTATCTAATGCAGTCTTTATTCCAACTTTTCCCATTGTCCCTCAAATACCCTTTTTACATGTGTGTGGGAAAAAGCTGTCTAACTACTACTCAAAACCTAGATGCCGTCGGGCGCGGTGGCTCACGCCTGTAATCCCAACACTCCAGGAGGCCAGGGCGGGCGAGTTCAGGAGTTCAAGACCAGCCTGGGCAACATGGTGAAACCCCCGTCTCTACTAAAAATACAAAAAAGTAGCCGGACGCAGTGAGGCGCGCCTATAGTCCCAGCTACTCGGGAGACTGAGGTAGGAAAATCACCTGAGCCCGGAAGGTCGAGGCTGCAGAGAGTCGAGATTGCACCACTGCACTCCAGCCTGAGCAACCAGAATGAGACCTTGTCTCAAAAGAAAAAAAAAAAAAAAAAAACCTAGATGCAATAAAAGATTAATGCATTTGACTGTATAAATTTTTTAACTTTTTCATGTCAAAAAACTCAATAAGCAAAGTCAAAAGACATCTGACAGACCAGGAGAAACTATTTGCAACATATATCATATATATACATTACATATATATATGTATATATATCTCAACATATATCATATAATATATCAGGAACTCTTAAAATTTGAGAGGGAAGGCCAGGTGAGTGGTTCATGCCTGTAATCACAGCACTTTGGGTGGCCAAGGTGGGAGGAATGCTTGAGCCCAGGAGTTTGAGACCAGCCTAGGAAACCTGGCAAGACTCTGTCTCTATAAAATATAAAAATTAGCTGAGCTTGGTGGTGCACACCTGTAGTCCTGTTGTGGGAAACTGAGGAACGGAGAGACCAATATGAGAGAACAGGAGGATGTTTATTTCAACGTACGCACTGGCTCAGTGGATTCACATCCAAAAAGCTGAGCCTAGAACAAAGATATTGTGGGGTTTTTATAAGCAAGCTTAGAAAGGTAAAACAAAAGTAGTTAATCATATAGTGCATAACTTGTGGCCTTGCATAGCTGGTGGCCTTGTAGCTGCATCAAAAGTAAAACAAGAACTGGCTAAATAGAGAGGTTTGTAAAACATAGTCATGCTTAAGAGACCAAGGAAAGGAATAGCAATAAAATAATTTGTCTTTCTCTCTTTTTTTTCCTTCAACCTTGCTCTGGAGGCGGGCGGTGGGGTGGAGGGCGGGGTCTGGAGCCCAGTCCTCTGGCCTTGGCTTTTCGGACAGCGTTATCTTATAACTGTCCTTGAAGTGAGCTGCTAAGCAGAGGAAAACTTGTTCTTCTTCTTTTTTAACCCTTGCCTTGCCACATTCTGGGCCTTAGCTCTTACTTCTCTTGGAGTGAATATATGTAGTACTTATTATTATTATTATTTTAATTTCTGCCTCAGTCCCAGCTACTGGGAGGCCGAGGGGGGAGGATTGCTTGAGCCTAGGAAGTCGAGGCTACAGTGAGTTGCACTACAGCCTGGGCAACAGAGCAAGAAGTTGTCAAAAAGGAAAGAGAGAGAGAGAGAGAGAAAGAGAGAGAAAAGGAAGGAAGGAAGGGAGGGAGGGAGGGAAAGGGAAGGAAGGGAAGGAAGAAAGGAAGGAAGGAAGGAAGGAAGGAAGGAAGGAAGGAAGAAAGAAAGAAAGAAAGAAAGAAAGAAAGAAAGAAAGAAAGAAAGAAAAGGTTTGAGAAGGAAAATGTGAAAACCAGACAGAAAACATGGGCAAAAAGCATCAGCAAATAATTCATGAACAAAGATGTAGAAGTGACCATTATATTTATGAAAAATGCTTGCTTCATTCACTATAGGAGAAATGCAAATTAAAGCTACACTGAAAATAAACATTCAGAGAAATATATGGTGAGAGAGCGTATACCCTGAATGGTACATTCAGGGTAACATGAAGCGATGCTCCTAAGTGCCCAACCTCAATCTTCGGGTGAAAACAAACTCTATACTTAACCATTCAAAAAAGAAGAGGCCAGGTGCAGTGGCTCATGTCTGTAATCCCAGCACTTTGGGAAGCCGAGGCAGGCAGATCACGTGAGGTCAGGGGTTCAAGACCAGCCTGACCAACATTGTGAAACCCCATCTCTACTAAAAATACAAAATAATTAGCCGGGTGGTGGCATGTGCCTGTGGTCCCAGCTGCTGGGGAGGCTGAGGCAGGAAATTCGCTTGAACCTGGGAGGTGGAGGTTGCAGTGAACCGAGATCATGCCACTGCATTCCAGCCTGGGCGACAGAGTGAGACTCTGTCCAGAAGAAGGAGAAGGAGAAGAAGTAAGAAATATACAGTGAAAATAGAGTGCATGTAAAGACTGCTGAAATAAGGTCTGTAATTTAGTTTTTTGATTTTTGTTTTCTTGGGTTTGAGACAGGGTCTCACTTTGTCGTCCAGGCTGGGATGCAGTGGTGCAATCATAGCTCACTGTAGCCTCAATCTTTCAGGCTCAAGTGATTCTCTCACCTAAGTCTCCTAGGTAGCTGGGCTACAGGCATGCACCACCACACCTGGTTAATTTTTTTGAGTTTTTGAAGAGATGGAGTCTTACTTTGTTGCTTGACTGGTCTCAAACTCCTGGGCTCAAGCGATCCTCCCACCATGGCCTCCCAAAGTGCTGGGATTTGTAATTTAAAGTACCATATCAGGCCGGGTTCGGGGGCTCATGCCTGTAATCCCTGCACTTTGGGAGGCCATGGTGGGAGGATCGCTTGAGCTCAGGAGTTCAAGAGCAGCCTGAGCAAGATGGTGAAACCCCATCTCTACTAAAAATCCAAAAAAAATTTATCTGGGCATGGTGGCACACGCCTGTAATCTCAGCTACTCGGGAGGCTGAGGCACGAGAATTGCTTGAACCTGGGAGGCGGAGGTTGCAGTGAGCTGAGATTGTATCACTGCACTCCAGCCTAGGTAACAGAGTGAGACCCTGTCTCAAAAAATTTTTAAAAGTTAAAAAAAAAGTTCCATATCAAAGTCAATTTCCTGATTTTGATATTTATACTCTGGTTACATAAGTTGTTATCACTGGGAGAAACTAGATAAAGAGTACATGTTTTCAAAAACAAAAACTTTAGGGCCGGACACAGTGGCTCACGCCTGTAATCCCAGCACTTTGGGAGGCCGAGGCGGGTGGATCATGAGGTCAGGAGTTCAAGACCAGCCTGGCCAAGATGGTGAAACCCCGTCTCTACTAAAAATACAAAAAAAAATTACAGCATGCCTGTAATCCCAGCTACTCGGGAGGCTGAGGTAGGAGAATCGCTTGAACCCCGGGGGCGGAGGTTGCAGTGAGCTGAGATCGCACCACTGCACTCCAGCCTGGGTGACAGAGCAAGACTCCCTCTCAAAAAAAAAAACAAAAAAAAAAACTTTAAATAAACTACACTGAGATATCATTTCTTTCTATGAGATTAAAAAAAAAAAGTTTAGAAGCTTGACAACATACCCTGTTGGTGAGCCTGGAGAAACAGGCACATGCACGTTGCTAGTGGGTATGCAAAAGACAGGAAGAGTAATGTCTAACAAAACACCAAGGGCATCTACCTCTGACCCAGCAATCCCACCTCTAAGTATTTATCCATAAGGTTATTTATTGCAGCATTGTTTGTAATTTTAAACTGTTGGAAACACTTTCAAGCCCATACATAGAAGCTTCATTAAATAAACCACACAACAGCTGGGAAATGGAATACTATGCAGCTATAAAAAAGAATGAGGCCGGGTGCAGTGGCTCACGCCTGTAATCACAGCACTTTGGGAGGCCGAGGCGGGTGGATTACAAGGTCAGGAGTTCAAGATCAGCCTGGCCAATATGAGGAAACCCCATTTCTACTAAAAATACAAAAATTAGCCAGGCATCGTGGCAGGCGCCTGTAGTCCCAGCTACTCGGGAGGCTGAGGCAGGAGGATCACTTGAACCCAGAAGGCGGAAGTTGCAGTGAGCCAAGATCACACCAATGCACTCCAGCCCAGGTGACAGAGTGAGACTCCATCTCAAAAAAAAAAAAAAAAAAAAAAGAGAATGAAGAGGCTGGGCACAGTGGCTCATGCCTGTAATCTCAGCACTTTGGGAGTCTGAGGTGAGAGGATCACTTGAGCCCAGGAGTTCAAGACCAGCCTGGGCAACATAGTGAGACCCTGTCTCTGAAAACAAACAAACAAAAAAATCCATTCAACTCAATAGAATGGAGAAAACCCCTAAAGATGAACACAAAGAGAAACAAATAATCCTGACTGTATTTAAATAAACATAAGCACACTAAAAGGAATGGGGGTCTGGGGAGAAGTAACCCAACTACCTTTTTTTTTTTTTTAAGACTGATCTCGGCTGGGATTACAGGTGTGAGCCACTGCGTCTGGCCCCAAGTAACTTTTTAACACAGTTCTTCAACTGCATACCTTCAATCTAAGGTAGGAAGAGAGGGAGGGAGGGAAGAGTGGAGGGAGGGAGGGAGGAAAGAAGGGAAGGAAGGAGGGAGAGAGGGAGGGAGGGAGGAGTGGAGGGAGGGAGGGAAGAAGAGAAGGAAGGAGGGAGAGAGGGAGGAAGGAAGGACAACTGAATCTTAAATTCTTTTTTTTTTTTTTTTGAGATGGAGTCTCACTCTGTCGCCCAGGCTGAAGTGCAGTGGTGCGATCTCGGCTCACTGCAACCTCCGCCTCCTGAGTTCAAGCAATTCTCCTGCCTCAGCCTCCCAAGTAGCTGGGATTACAGGTGCCCACCACTAATTTTGTATTTTTGGTAGAGATGAGGTTTCATCATGTTAGCCAGGCTGGTCTTGAACTCCTGACCTCAAGTGATCTGCCTGCCTCAGCCTCCCAATGTTCTGGGATATAGGTGTGAGCCACCATGCCCAGCCTGAATCTTAAATTTTATGTCATAGGTTTGTTTTTTTCACAGTAGTATAACAAGTTTGAAACCATTCTCTTGTATTTTAGGATTAAGCAAATTAATAAATATAGTGCTGAT
The DNA here is from genome assembly GCF_000001405.40 of Homo sapiens. Taxonomy (NCBI): domain Eukaryota; kingdom Metazoa; phylum Chordata; class Mammalia; order Primates; family Hominidae; genus Homo; species Homo sapiens. The sequence goes on along the minus strand of NC_000012.12, from coordinate 113,353,118 downwards.
TTGGGATCCAGGTGTATCACCATAGGAAAAGAAAAATACAAACATGGAAAGCTACAAGCCCAGGAAGAATACTGTGATATTAGGCTGGATTTAGAGGTATCAGTAGGAACTCATGACTTTTCATATTGATATGTCAAAATCTGGAAACATATCTATGTCATTCCTGGCTCTGTCCACTGAGTGACACCAGGGACAATGACACCCCAGAAACAATGAGTGTAGGCTGGACGCAGTGGCTCACACCTGTAATCCCAGAACTTTGGGAGGCTGAGGCAGGAGGATTGCTTGAGGTCAGTAACTTGAGACCAATCTGGGCAACATAGTGAGATCTTGTCTGTACCAAAAAAAAAAAAAAAAAAAAAAAAATCAGCCAGTATTGTGGCATGCACCTGTAGTCTCAGCCTCTCAGAAGGCTGAAGTAAGAGGATCACTTGGGCCTGCGAGGTCAAGTCTGCAGTGAGCCATGGTTGCGCCACTGCACTCCACCCTGGGCAGCACAGCAAAACACTGTTTCAGAAGAAAGAGAAAGAAAGAGAGGAAGGAAGGAAGGAAAGAAGGAAGGAACGAAGGAAGGAAGGAAAGAAGGGAGGGAGGGAGGGAGGGGAGGGCAGGGGAGGGGAGGGAGAGAGGGAGGGAGAGAAAGAAAGAGAGGAAAGACAGAAAGAAAGAGAGGAAAGAGAAAGAAAGGCAGAAAGACAGAAAGGAGGGAAGGAAGGTAGGAAGGAAAGAAGGAAGGAGGGAAGGGAGGGAGGGAGGGAAAGGGAAGGGAAGGAAGGGAAGGAAAGGAAGAAAGGAAGGAAGGAAAGAAGAAAGGAAGGAAGGAGAAAGAAAAAGGAAGGAAGGAAGGAAGGAAGGGGGGGGAGGGACGGAGGGGAGGGGTAAGGAGGGGAGGGAAGGAAGAAAGAAAAGAGAATATAAAAAGAAACAATGAAAGCATCCAGTGCCCAGATCCTCATTTCCACTCAAGGGATCCAGGGCTCTAGGAGAAATGGTTGACTCCAGGGTCAGAGAAAGTGCAAAGTGGGCCTGGAACATCTTGTTTTGCCCCAAAGCAAGGTGCTCAAAGAATGATGGGAACATGTCAGAAAGCCAGCAACCAGCTTGAAGAAGCTCCTACTGGCTAAAATTGGGACAGTTTGAGCATAAAAATAACAATACTAATGTATTTAGAAACACTGACTTAAATAAAAACCTATTGAGTGCTGAGGATAAATAAGTAAAAGGAAAGTGATTGGCCAGGGGGTGGAGGGAGAGAATGATCCCAGGATGACTCTGTTCTTCTTTTTTGGAGAATGCCAACTATCAATATCAAAATAATGATAGTACCAGCCTGGGGAACATAGTCAGACCCCATTTCGAAAAATAAATAAATAAATAAAATGATAGAGTTAGAAAAATCGTTTTGCAGCCAGGCGCAGTGGCTCATACTTGTAATCCCAGCATTTTGGGAGTCTGAGGCAGGAGGATTGCTTGGGGCCAGGAGTTTGAGACTCTGTCTCTACAAAAAAATTAAAAATTAGCTGGGTGTGATAATGTGTTCCTGTAGTCTCAGCTACCAGGGAAGCTAAGGTGGGAGAATCGCTTAAGCCCAGGAGTTCGAGGCTGCAGGCTATGATCACACCATTGCATTCCAGCCTGGGTGACAGAGCAAGACCCTGTCTCAAAAAAAAAAAAGAAAAGAAAAGAAAAACCATTTTGCAATTATAGTAATGACTGATATAGCTGAGAATTGTCATGGATGCTAAATCAATTTTCATCATGACAGCCAGAGGGATCATGTTAGACTCAAGTTGGATAATGCACCTCCCCTGCTCTAAACCCTCCCATGGCTCCCCATATCTCTAAAAACTAAAGTCCTTACCATAACCCAGGAGCCTACAGATCTGACCTCCTCTTCCTTTTCTCTGACTCATCTGCCATCATCTCCCCATCACTTACTCTGTTCCATCCACCCTGGCCTCCTTGATGTTCTTAAAACATCCCAAGCATGGTTCTATTGCAGGACCTTTGCACTTGCTGTCACCTTCTTTGGAAGGCCCTTCCTAACCACTCTATTAATATTATTATTATTATAATTTTAGAGATATGGTCTCACTCTGCCACCCAGGCTGGGGTGCAGTGTCTCAATCATAGCTCACTGCAGCCTTGACCTCTTGGTCTCAAGCAATCCTCCCACCAAAGTCTTTCAAGTAGCTGGGACTACAGCACACACACCACACCCAGCTAATTAAAAAAACATTTTTTTTTTTTTTTAGAGAAATGGTCTTGCTATGTTGCCCAAGCTGGTCTCAAACTCCTAGCCTCAAGCAATCTCCCCACCATGGCCTCCCAAAGTGCTGGGATTACAGGCATGAGCCACCAAGCCTGGCCCTGACCACCCTATTTAAAATTCAGACTTCTCCCCTAACTCCCAAGTTGCACATCTTACCACCCCCCACCCGCCATAATTTATTCTCTCTATAGCATCTAACACCATCTAACTCATTACTTATTTGGCTTATTAATTTTTTCATTCTCTGTTTCCCCAAAATTGAGTCTAAACTCCATGAGGCAGGGGTTTAGGGCTGTGATATTCAGTGCTGTGTCCTCAGTATCTAGACCAGGACCAGGCACACAGTAGGTGCTCCTTAAACGTGTAGAATGAGCAGAGCTTTTTCATTCTGACAATGGAAAAAGACAATAAGCACATAAACAAGCTGAGATGCAATGTCGGATAAGGACAAGTGCTGAGTTAGAACAGCAGGCTGAGTACATTGGAAATGACGTGTGCTACTCCACACAAGGCATGCACCAACCAGGGCCCTGAACACTCAGCTGGGTTTTTGTTTTGTTTTGTTTTGAGATGGAGTCTTGCTCTGTTGCCAGGCTGGAGTGCAGTGGCACCATCTCAGCTCACTGCAACCTCTACCTCCTGGGTTCAAGGGATTCTCCTGCCTCAGCCTCCCAAGTAGCTGGGACTACAGTCACACACCACCACACCCAGCTAATTTTTGTATTTTTAGTACAGACGGGGTTTCAACCATGTTGGCCAGGATCATCTCCATCTCTTGACCTCAAGTGATCCATCCGCCTTGGCCTCCCAAAGTGCTGGGATTACAACAGGCGTGAGTCACCGCGCCCGGCCTCAGCTGGAGTTTTAAAGAATCTTTAGGGGCTGGGCATGGTGGCTCACACCTGTTGTAATCCCAGCACTTTGGGAGGCCAAGGTAGGCGGATCACTTGAGGTCAGGAGTTCAAGACCAGCCTGGTCAACATGGTGAAACCCCCGTTTCTGCTAAAAATACCAAAAATTAGCTGGGCAGGATGGCGCCTGTAATCCCAGCTACTCAGGAGGCTGAGGCAGGAGAATCGCTTGAACCTGGGAGGCAGAGGTTGCAGGGAGCTGAGATCTCGCCATTGCACTCCAGCCTGGGGAACAGAGTGAGACTCTGTCTGAAAAAAAAAAAAAAGAACAAAAACTGGTCTATGCTGTTAACTAAAAAAAGAGATTGACACGGAGGTCAAAAGAAATAGCATTTATATAGGAAACAAAGAACTACGACTCGCGTACACTGAATCAGATAGGACTATTCAGGGCAGCCCTGAATAGCATCCCGTAAGGCAAGGGCAGGAGAGGTTTTTTATAAGGGATTTCCACAAAAAGTTGTTTCGGAGGCAGTTCATTGGCTGGGCGGAAATCCTCTATCGCAAGCCCATTCTGATTGGTTAGTTCATTAGGGTACTCCCAGCTAAGAGAGGTTGAAGGCGGTGGATTCTGACTTCAATTGTTAGCCAAACCGACTGGCACATTCTGCGATTTGACCTTCAGCCGGTGTGAGTGCGATCCTCCCACGGTCTCCCGACTCCCACTTTAGAAAGCCTTAGTTGTAGCTGCCTCATTTTCTTTCACGATATTGACATAATTCCTTCCCTCCCCGTCCCCTCCTGCACACTCACGAATGAAAGCTGGGGAAGAGCAGGCAGCTGGGGTTTTGGGGTGTGAGGTGTTGTCCCCTCCTCTGAGGCCTGATAACTGACAGCTGGGGCGGGACAAGATCAGGACCAAGTGTTGGGCAAGGTTGGGTAGGCGTCTGTGTCCCTGGAGGTCAGGAACAGAGGGAGCAAGGGAAGGAGGGAGGGGCCCGGCCTTGAAGGAGTAGGTGGAGGCCTCTGGAGATGGCCAGGGACACTGGGGAGTCACAGCTGGGCAGAGGACAGGCTGCGATCTGAGGACTGCTGAGGCAAATCCCAGCCGACCCAGCTGGCCTGGTGACCCCTGCACTGCTAGAAGCTCCCCAGAAATCATTCCTTCCTCAGCCTCTCCTGGAGGGTGAAAGGAAACCAGAGTCCCCCAGACAAGGGACACACAGCGGTCCTCAGCTGTGCTGATGGTCAAGAGCTGCATTGCTCCCACATTTGACGATCAAGACTTAAATTATTTTCTGGCCAGCTGCAGGGGCTCATGCCTGTAATCCCAGCACTCTGCGAGGCCGAGGCAGGCGGATCACTTGAGGTCAGGAGTTCGAGACCAGCCTGGCCAACATGGTGAAACCCTGTCTCTACTAAAAATACCAAAATTAGCCAAGCGTAGTGGCAGTCACCTGTAATCCCAGCTACTCGGGAGGCTGAGACATGAGAATGGCTTGAACCTGGGAAATGGAGGTTGCAGTGAGCCAAGATTGTGCCACTGTATTCCAGCCTGAGCAAGAGAGAGAGATTGTCTCAGAAAAAAAAAAAAAAAAAAATTTACCAAACAGGCTGGACACAATGGCTCTGTGCCTGGAATCTCAGCACTTTGGGAGGTTGAGGCGGGAGGATCACTTGAGCCCAGGAGTTCAGGACCAGCCTGGGCAAGATGATGAGACTGTGTTTCTCCAAAAAAAAAAAAAAAAAAAAAAAATTACAAATAAAAAATAAATCACCAGCCAGAAGCAAGGGCAATCAGCGTTTTCACCAGGCAGCGGTGTGGGGTGATGGTTAGGAGTGTGACAGTTGATTATATACAAAGTGAGTCATTCTTGTCATATCCAGGCAGAGAAGGCACTCAGAGCACATGGCACCTGCTCCAAGAATTAAATTTTGCAGAAGCCCAGCTGCTGAAACTGCCTGTTGTTACCCTAAGACTAGTTTTATCTCATAGCTACTGAAACACCCTGCTGCAACTCTAAGAGTAGCTTTACCCACCCCTGTGACTCACCAATCACAGCTTCCAGCTCCCCAAAACTTTGCTAGTGCCAATGAACTTTTTTTCAAGACAATACGTTTCGGTTTTTTTTGAGACGGGGCCTTGCTCTGTTGCCCAGGTTGAACTGCAGTGGTGTGATCGTAGCTTACTGCAGCCTCAACCTCCTGGACACAAGCGATCCTCCTGCTTCAGCCTCCCAAATAGCTGAGACTACTGGCATGCGCCACAATGCCTGGCTAATTTTTATTTTTATTTTTGGTAGAGTGGGTTCTCACTGTGTTGATCAGGCTAGTCTCAAACTCCTGGGCTCAAATGATCCTCCTGCCTAGGCCTTCCATAGCACTGAGATTACAGGCATGAGCCACCATGACCAGCCCCTTTCTCCTTTTTATAAAACATCCAACCTGCTCTTTGTTCTTCAAACATACTGAAAACCACCCAATCTATGTGTATGCCCCATATTGTAATTCTTCCTTCCCAAATAAAACGCTAAATTTAGAGAGTCATCACTGTATTTTTATTTTGACTTCAGCAGGAGCATGGAGTTGTGGAGTCAGACAGAATTGAGTTCTAAATCCAGCTCCACTATTTGCTGGCTGTGTGACCTTAGGAAAGCGACCTTCCCTCGCTGAGCCTGGAAGAAATGAAAGCCTCTCCACACTGGCCCCTAGTGCCACCTCCTTAGACCTTCAGCATGCTTGCAGTCACAGACAAAGGGCAGACTTCACATCTCAGTATCTTGGTCTGTCTACCTCCTTTCCCCAGCCCCTGTCCAGGGGCCACCCCCCACTTCCAGCCAGTTTTTGAGGTCCCTACCATCCAAGGCCACCAGGCAGGCTGAAAAGATAGAGCTCCCCAGGCAGAAAGCACCCTGTATTAGTCCATTTTCATACTGTTATAAAGAACTGCCAGAGACTGAGTAATTTATAAAGAAAAGAGGTTTAATTGACTCGCAGTTCGGCATGGCTGGGGAGGCCTCAGGAAACTTACAATCATGGCAGAAGGCACCTCTTCACAGGGTGGCAGGAAGGAGAAATGAATGCAGGAGGATCTACCAAACACTTATAAAACCATCAGGTCCCATGAGAACTCACTCACTATCATGAGAACAGTATGGGGGAACCACCCCCCATGATTCAATCACCTCCACCTGGTCTCTCCTTTGACATATGGGGATTACGGGGATTACCATTCAAGATGAGATTTTGGGTGGGGACACAGCCAAACCGTATCACATGCAGACCCACGTCAGCAACCACCCACTCAGTGCTAAGTGGGTCCCACTGCTGTAACAGCATTGCCCCAGTGCATGGCCTTTGACCCTCCCTTCCTTCAGATCATATGACCCTCTGTGGACATTGCTGTGCCTCATATGTGACCAGTCACCCAGGGTGTGCTGCATCTGACCACTGAGCAATCTGTGTTCCTGTAGGTTCCACCCCTGAGAACAATATCTAACCTCTAGCTATTGAGCATGTATGTGTCCCAGGACCTTACGTGTACTTCCTCATTTAATCTTCACAACAACCGGAGAGACCCAGGAAATCCCTAGTCCCATTTAAAGATGGACGGAGAAGACATGTGACTTGCCCAAGGTCAAACTGAAGTGAGTAGTGAACCTGGGTTGAGCTCATCCAAAGACTTAATTCTTTTTTTTTTTTTTGAGAGAGTCTCACTCTGTAACCCAAGCTGGAGTACAGTGGTGTGATCTCCACTCACTGCAACCTCCGCCTCCCGGGTTCAAGCGATTCTCCTGCCTCAGCCTCCTAGTAGCTGGGACTACAGGCGTGTGCCACCATGCCCGGCTAATTTTTATATTTTCAGTAGAGATGGGGTTTCACCATGTTGGCCAGGCTGGTCTCGAACTTCTGACCTCAGGTGATCCACCCAACTTGGCCTCCCAAAGCGCTGAGATTACAGGCATGAGCCACCATGCCAAGCCCCAAAGACTTAATTCTTATCCACTACATATAGGAGACCCCAAAATGAGACTAATGTGCAGTCTTCCCAAAACTGATTTAATGATTTTGTTAATGGCAACAGTGGTAACAGCCCATAGAAAAGTACTCAAAGGCCGGGCGAGGTGGCTCACGCCTGTAATCCCACCACTTTGGGAGGCCGAGGCGGGTGGATCACCTGAAGTCAGGAGTTCAAGACCAGCCGGGTCTTGAACATGGTGAAACCCCATCTCTACTAAAAATACAAAAAGATGCTTGCCTGTAGTCCCAGCTACTCGAGAGGCTGAGGCAGGAGAATCACTTGGGCCCAAGAGGCGGAGTTGGCAGTTAGCTGAGATCGCGCCATTGCATTCCAGCCTGGGAGACAGAGCGACTTGGTCTCAAATACAAAATTAAAAAAAAAAATACCTAGGAAATGTCTGGGTTGCAATAAGAGGTTGTGGAGACCAAAGTTTTATCATGCAGATGAGGCCTTCAGAGAGAACTGATTACAAATGCTTCTTATCAGATTTAAGGTCTATGTTGATGTTAATGCTGGAGAGGTATAATGAGGCATGTCAACCCCCACTTCCCATCATGGACTCAACCAGTCTCTCAGGTTAAATTTTAAGAGCGCCCTGGCCAAGAAGGAAGTCCATTCAGACAGTTGCGGGGGTGCTTAGAAATTTATTTTTGGGCTGAGCACGGCAGCTCACATCTATAATCCAGTACTTTGGGAGGCCAAGGCGGGCAGATCACTGCAGGTCAGGAGTTCGAGACAAGCCTGGCCAACATGGTGAAACCCCGTTTCTACTAAAAATACCAAAATTAGCTAGGCACGGTGGCGGGCGCCTATAATCCCAGCTACTCAGGAGGCTGAGGCAGGAGAATTGCTTTAACCTGGGAGACGGAGGTTGCAGTGAGTCAAGATCATGCCACTGCACTCCAGCCTGAGCCACAGAGCAAGTCTCCATCTCAAAAAAAAAAAAAGAAAGAAAGAAATTTATTTTTGGTTTACACAAAGTACCATAGATTGGGTGGTTTGGAAACAACAAAAATTAGGCCGGGCACAGTGGCTTATGCCTGTAATCCCAGCACTTTGGGAGGCCGAGGCGGGTGGATCACCTGAGGTGGGGAGTTCAAGACCAGCCTGACCAACATGGAGAAATCCCATCTCTACTAAAAATACAAAATTAGCCGGGCGTGGTGGCACATGCTTGTAATCCTAGCTAGTCGGGAGGCTGAGGCAGGAGAATCACTTGAACCCAGGAGGCGGAGGTTGTGGTGAGCCAAGATTGTGCCATTGCACTCCAGCCTGGGCAATAAGAGCTAAACTCCATCTCAAAAAAAAAAAAAAAAGAAACAACAAAAATTTCTTTCTCATCATTCTGGAGGCTGGACAGCCAAGATCAGGGTGCCAGCATCGTGGGGTTCTGGTAAGGGCCCCTCCCAGGTTGCAGACTGCTGACTTCTTGTATTCTCATATGATGAAGAGAGCTAGCTACCTCTCTGGTGTCTTCTTATACGGGCACTAATTTCATTCCTGAGGACTCCACCTGAATGACCCAATTACTTCCCAAAGCTCCCACCTCCCAATACCATCACACTGGGAGGGTTTCAACACCTGCATTTTGGGGGGACAGATACTTTTCATCCATTACAGGGGTAGAGGGCAGGATTTATTTATTTATGTTGAATAATGTGGTTTTCAGACTATTAAAAAAATGTTTTTTAAGAGTCAGAGTCGCTCGGGTTTGAGCGCAGTGGTGCAATCGTGGCTCATTGCAGCCTCAAACTTCCGGGCTCAAGACATCTTGCCACCCAAGCCTCCCGAGAGGCTGGGACTGCAGGCAGGTGCCACCACACCCAGCTTGTTTTAAAATTTTTTTAGAGATGGAGTCTTGCTATGTTGCCCAGACTGGTCTCGAACTCCTGGGCTCAAGTGATCCTCCTGCATCGGCCTCCCAAAGTGCTGGAATTACAGGTGTAACCCACCACATGGGCCTAATTCCTTTATCCTAGAGAAAACTGATTCCACATATATTTTTCTAGACTGTTTCCCACACAGATATAAATATATGTTTAAAATATACACTTAGGGGCCAGGCGTGCGTGGCTCACTCCTGTAATCCCAGCATTTTGGGAGGCGAAGGCAGGTGGATCACTTTGAGGTCAGGAGTTCGAGACCAGCCTGGCCAACATGATGAAACCCCATCTCTACTAAAAATACAAAAAAATTAGCCAGGCATAGTGGCGTGCACCTGTAATTCCAGCTACCTGGGAGGCTGAGGTAGGAGGTTGGCTTGGGAGGCTTGAGGCGTTCTCTCAAAAAAATAAAAGATAAAAGAAAAGTAAACATATACATACACACACACACACACACACACACACACACACACTTGGGATTATACTTATAAATGAGTGTCAAATCTGTTTTTTTATTTATTATATATACTTTGTGTAGTTTTTTTAAGAGATGCAGGTCTCAAGATTTTGCCCTGACTGATCTTGAACTCTTGGGCTCAATCTATCCTCCTCCTTCAGCCTCCCTAGTAAGCTGGGACTATAGGCTTGTGCCACTGCACCCGGCCTCTTTATGTAGTTTGTTTGTTGGTTGGTTTTTTGTTTGTTTGTTTGTTTTTGAGACAGAGTCTTGCTCTGTCGCCCAGGCTGGAGTACAGTGGTGTGATCTTGGCTCACTGCAACCTCCTGGGTTCAGGTGATTCTCCTGTCTCAGCCTCCAGAATAGCTGGGATTACAGGCATGCACCACCACACCTGGCTAATATTTTTTATTTATTTATTTATTTGAGACAAGTTTTGCTCTGTTGCCCAGGCTGGAGTGCAGTGGCGCAATCTCAGTGCACTGCAACCTCTACCTCCCGGGTTCAAGCAATTCTCCTGCCTCAGCCTCCCAAGTAGCTGGGATTACAGGCACATGCCACCATATCTGGCTAATTTTTTGTACTTTTAGTAGAGATGGGGTTTCACCATGTTGGCCAGGCTGGTCTCAAACTCCTGACCTCAGGTGATTCACTCTCCTCAGCCTCCCAAAGTGTTGGGATTACAGGCATGAGCCACTGCGCCCAGCCACTTTGTGTAGTTTTAATGTCATTGAAACAGGGTGTTAAATGTCTGCATAGCAAAATATTTCATAGGAGGCCTCGTGAACTATTTGCTTAATCCCCTGTTGTTGAACACCTATGCTGTTTTCAACTGTTGCACAATTGTGAAGATCACTGTAGTAAACATGCTGATGCTCAAGTCTTCTCTTCTTTACTTTAGAAAAGCTCCAGAGCAACATTGGTGGTGCAAAGGGTACATGTGTTTTCAAGGCTCTTAAGATTGACATTTATGGCCAGGAGCAGTGGCTCATGCCTGTAATTCCAACACTTTGGGAGGCCAAAGCGGGCAGATCACTTGAAGTCAGGAGTTCGAGACCAACCTGGCCAACATGATGAAACCCCATGTCTACTAAAAATACAAAAATTAGCCAGGTGTGATGACAGGCACCTGTAATCCCAGCTACTTGGGAGGCTGAGGCAGGAGAATCACTTGAACCTGGGAGGTGGAGGTTGCAGTGAGCTGAGATCGCACCACTGCACTCCAGCCTGGATGACAGAGTGAGACTCTATCTCAAAAAAAAAAAAAAAAAAAAAAAAGATTGACATTTATCAATTGCCAAGTCACTTTCTTCCCTCCCTCCCTCCCTCCCTCCCTCCTTTCCTTCCTTCCTTCCTTCCTGCCTTCCCTCCCTCCCTCTCTTTCTTTCCCTTTCTTTCTTTTTCTTCTTTCTTTCCTTTCTTTCTCTTTTTCTTTTTCTTTCTTTCTCTCTCTCTCTCTTTCTTTCTTTCTCTGATAGAGAGCAGTCTTATTCTGTTGCCCAGGCTGGTCTCGAACTCCTGGGCACAAGCAATCCTCCAGCCTTGGCCTCCCGAAGTGCTGGAATCACAGGTGTGAGCCATGGCACCCAATGGCTAAGTCACTCTCCAGGAAGATTATTCCAATGGAGATGCCTGCAGGCAATGACAATGAAAAACTCCCTCACAACTTCTCCTGTGTGCTGCTGTTAGTTGGGCTGCCCTGAGAGGTAACGAGCACCCTGTCTCCAGGGGCTTTCGAGCAGGTGCTGCATGAAGGTTTTCCAGAGCTGCCGTGATTGGGAGAGAACAAGTATTGGTTGGAGGTGAGACTCGTGCTGTCTTAAGGAACCTTCCAAGTCTCTGGGCCTCTTAGACTAACACTGAAAGTTCTGATTCTCTCTCTTTCCTCTTTTGAGTTCCCCATGAAGCCACACTACTTCTGCTCACAATGTCCCCAGGCAATTGTGTTGTGCCCAGAGCTGCCACCCGCACCCTGGGCCTCCTAAACAGGATGCCAAGTGTCGGGCAGATCTGGCCTTACCTTCAGGTGCAGCAGGGCACTCTCCTTGTGGTGGTGAGGGGGACTCAGTTGGGATCACTCAGACCTGGGTACAAATCCAGTCTCTGCCATTTCTCAGTGGGTGCCTCTGGGGCAGGCCATTTCATCTCCCTGAACCTCAATTTCCCGTCTGTGAACTGGAGATTATTGTAGCTCTCACCCCATTGGTCTATTAAATGAGACAAACATGTGCATACTCAAAATAAATGTTAAGTCTTCAACAGTTATTTACAGCCGGGGCAGTGGCTCACACCTGTAATCCCAGCACTTTGGGAGGTTAAGGCGAGCAGATTGCTTGAGGCCAGGAGTTCGAGACCAGCCTGGCCAACATGGCGAAACCCCATCTCTACTAAAAATACAAAAATTAGCCAGGCATGATGGCAAGCGCCTGTAGTCCCAGGTACTCAGGTGGCTGAGGCACAAGAATTGTTTGAACCTGAGAAGCAGAGGTTGCAGTGAGCCAAGATTGTGCCACTGCCCTCTAGTCTAGGTGACAGAGCAAGACTCTGTCACAAACAAACAAAACACAAATAGTAATTTACTTTTTATTGGTTTGGGGTTTGTTCAAAGATTCTGAGGACACGATCAGCCCACATGTGATGCTGAAGGAAAATGTCCACCCAATGGGATTTGAGGGTCCTTGCTCTTCCTACCCCCTAAATACAGCTCCCCTCTGCTGCCCATCATGCTGCCTAACATCCCACCATTGGTCACCTCTGTAGAGGAAGGCATGGAGGGAGATTGTATTTGGGATCTTGCTTTGTCACCCAGGCTGGAGTGCAGTGGCAGAATCATAGCTCCCTGCAGCCTTACTCCTGGGCTCAAGCGATCCTCCCACCTCAGCCTTCTGAGTAGCTGAGATCACAGGTGAGTGCCACTATGCCTGGCTAATTTTTGTATTTATTGTCAAGATGGGGGTGCTGGTATGTTGCCCAGGCTGGTCTCGAACTCCTGGCCTCAAGTGATCCCTTCACCTTGACTTCCCAAAGTGCTGGGATTACAGGCATAAGCCACTCACCCAGCCTTATATGCTCTTCTTATGATGTGACTTTGACAAACCTCCCACTGGGGGGTGGGAGGAGTGGTCTACATTTCCTCTCTTTGAATCTGGGTGGGCCTGTGAAGATGGTAGAAGTGACAAGAAGTGGCACAGTGTCATTTCCACAATGAAGTAATACAGGGCAATACAGCTTCTGCTTTGATGCCTGGAACCCCAGCACTGGCACCCTGAGATGCCATGTAAGCAGTATGTCTGCCCTGGGACGGCCATGCTCTAAGGAAACCCAGAAACCGGCTTGCATGGAACAATCCCATGCAGAAGCCCTGAGGCGACAGGAAGAATGAGAAACATCTGGGCAACCAAAGGAGAGACTTGTGCCAGAACTGCCTAGCTGAGCCCTTCCCTCCTTTTTTTTTTAAGTATATAAGAGACAAGATCTCCCTATGTTGTTTTTGTTGTTGTTGTTTGTTTTTGAGATGGAGTTTTGCTCTTGTCACCCAGGCTGGAGAGCAGTGGTATGGTCTCAGCTCACTGCAACCTCTGCCTCCCAGGTTCAAGTGATTCTCCTGCCTCAGCTTCCCGAGTAGCTGGGATTACAGGTGCCCGCCACCCTACCCAGCTAATTTTTGTATTTTTAGTAGAGATGGAGTTTCATCATGTTGGCCAGGCTGGTCTTGAACTTCTGACCTCAGGTGATTCACCCTCCTTGGCCTCCCAAAGTGCTAGGATTACAGGTGTGAGCCACCACGCCTGGCCTCCCTGAGTTGTTTTAAGGCCAAGCAATCCTCCTGCCCTGGCCTCCTGACTTCCCAAATTCTTGACCCATGGAAACCCTGACAGATAATGAAATGCTATTGTATTAGGCCTCTAAATTTTGGCATGTTTTGTTATGCAGCAATAGGTAACTGATACAAGCACAAAATCCTTCTCAATTTTTTTTTTTTTTTTTTTTTTTTTTTGAGAGGGAGTCTTGCTCTATCACCCAGGCTGGAGTGAAAGGGCACAATCGTAGTTCATTGCAGCCTCGACCTTCCGGGCTCAAGTGGTAAATCGACATTTAATCTACTCTCTGCCAGACATTGTGTCAGGTCCTTTTACCTTCAGTAATAATAATAAATAATAATAATAGCAGCTTGGCCAGGCATGGTGACTCATGCCTGTAATCACAGCACTTTGGGAGGCCGAGGCAGGCGGATCACGAGGTCAGGAGATCAAGACCATCCTGGCTAACACAGTGAAACCCCGTCTCTACTAAAAATACAAAAAATTAGCCGGGCGTGGTGGCGGGCGCCTGTAGTCCCAGCTACTTGGGAGGCTGAGGCAGGAGAATGGCGTGAACTCAGGAGGCGGAGCTGGCAGTGAGCCGAGATTGTGCCACTGCACTCCAGCCTGGGCGACAGAGCAAGACTCTGTCTCAAAAAAAAAAAAAAAGTAATAATAATAATAATAGCAGCTTCAATTTATTCAACTTTAACAAGTGCCAGGCACTATGCTATGGGTTTTATTATATAATCTCCTTGTTCTTTAAAATTATAATAGTAGAGACAGGGTCTTGCTATGTTGCCCAGGCTGGTCTCGAACTCCTGGCCTCAAGCAATCCTCCCACTTCAGCCTCCCAAAGTGCTGAATTACAGGTGTGAACCACTGTGCCCAGCCGACATATAAAATCTCAATCCTCACTATAGCCTGATGAGTGGGCCCTATAGGTGCTGTTTTCATCCCCATTTTCCAGGTAAGGAACTGAGACTCAAAAAGACAAAATAACTGGTCCAGGGCCAAATAGCCAGTAAATGGCAGAGCTGGGATTTGAGCTCGGATCTGGATGACTTCTAAGTCTGCTCCTAACATGTCAAAATGGCCTTTCTCAGCCTGGGGAATAGGCCCTAACCCTAACCACTGTCTACCAGAGCAGGGGTGAACCAGGGGCTATCCCAGGCCCCATCTATCTTTCTTCTCTGTCCCCAGGGGTTCCTCTCCCCGCCTGGATCTTTCCAGGAGTCTCTCAACAGATACTCATACTCTCCCCCAACACCCCTTGCTTCCTGCTCTACCCCAGTCCTGGGAGACAGGGAGGTAGTAACCCACCTGCTCTGCTGACCTAGAATGGTGATATCTAAGCCTCACCCTAGCTACCAGGGTCAGGCCCCTTGGGGAAGGAGGACTTCAAACTCAGCAATTCTGGAGTTACTTCTCAAGCAGCAGATGACCTGGGGAAAAGCTGACCCCGGAGTAGGATGACCCCGGAGCAGGCTTGGAGATTGTGACACACAGACACTACTGTGAACGCCCCTGTGCTGGCAGCCTGGACATGGGGATGAACCTGGCCTGGTGCTGCTTCGAGGTGCTCCCAGCCTGTGGGGGACATGGAAAGGTAAGTTAATGCATTGTTGTAACAATGGAATAATTTTTATTTTTTATTTTTCTTTGAGATGGAGTCTCACTGTCACCCAGGCTGGAGTGCAGTGGCATGATCTGGGCTCACTGCAGCCTCCACCTTCCAGGTTCAAACAATTCTCGTGCCTCAGCCTCCCAAGTAACTGAGATTGTGGGCTTGTGCCACATGCCTGGCTAATTTTTGTATTTTTAGTAGAGACGGGTTTTTGCCATGTTGGCCAGGCTGGTGTTGAACTCCTGACTTCGGGTGATCTGCCCACCTCAGCCTCCCAAAGTGCTGGGATTACAGGTGCGAACCACCACGCCCAGCCAACAATGGAATAATTAATGGGGACAACAAACCCTTCCACTGAGGGAGTGTTGACTCAGCATCCAGCATGGGGTTTGGGGCTCTTCACAGTGTCCTATTTCAGCTAGGCATGGTGGCTCATGCCTGTAATCACAGCAATTTGGGAGGCCAAGGTGGGGGGATTGCATGAGCCCAGGAGTTCAGGACCAGCCTGGGCAACATAGTGACACCCTGTCTCTACAAAAAATGAACAAAACGAGCCAGGCATGGTGGCACACGACTGTAGTCACAGCTACTTGGGAAGCTGAGGCGGGAGGATCGCTTGAGCCCAGGAGGTCAAGGATGCAGTGAGCCAAGATCACACCACTGCATTCTAGCCTGGGTGACAGAAGGAGACCCTGTCTCAAAAAAGATAAGGAAAAACATCTGGAAGGACCTCAGGAGGTTGGTACTAGTATCACTCCCATTTCACCAAGGGGGAAACTGAGGCTCAAAGAGAGGCTCTAAGTGTTTATAGAAGGTCCTACAGAAACCTGATGTTCTGCGATTCCAAACACATCATGCTCCAGATCACAATGTCACCTGCCCAGAGGTGGGAATTAGAGGTGTGCTCTGAAGGTGGGGAGCCCTGTGGCCATGTGGAGGGGTTGGGGGGAGGGTGGAAGACCCCCTAGTGGCGGTGACCTCTGAGCTGAGCCTGACAACATGAGTAAGAGTTTGTCAGGTGGAAAAGAGATAGGGTGTCATCAGGGCAGGGGGCTCGGAAGGAGCAGAGGCAGGTGGCTGTGAGCAAGAGGCCGATACGTTCAGGGAACAGGGAGCACTACTGGGCAGGAGGTGGAGGTAGGGGTGAAAGACGATTTCAGAAAGGTGTGCTAGGGCTGGATGCTGAAGGGCCTTGAATGCCAGGCTTGGCGTTGGGCCTGGGTCCTGCCCATGACGAGGAAGCAGGTCCTACCGTAAGGATAAGAGATGGGGTGACTAGATGCATGCTAATGGCAGAAGTGGGGCTGCAGGCAGGAGTGGCCTGGGAGGACACACTCCAGCCTTAAGGACCCCAGGTCCAGGCCCCATGCCTGCCTCCTCCCATTCCCCCATCCCCCCAACAGAAGAAAAGGCAGGATGAACAGAGCTTCCCCAGGAGGCTGGGAAACTGGAAATAGGGGGAGATACTGGTACATCCATCAGCAGATCACTAACTCCTCGGTCTTGATTTGTTTGCCACCTTCTTTTAAAAACGATGCTATGTGCCCCCTTCGGCAGCACATATACTAAAATTGGAACAATACAGAGATTAGCAAAAAGAAAAGGGAAAAAATTAAATACAAATTTTAAATATTAGATAAAAAGGTGGGCATGGTGGCTCACACCTGTAATCCAAGCACTTTTGTTACAGGAAAGGGGTCCTGATCCAGACCCTAAGATAGGGTTCTTGGATCTCGCGCAAGAACGAATTCAGGGTGATTCCATAGAGTAAAGTGAAAGCAAGTTTATTGAGAAAGTAAAGGAATAAAAGAATGGCTACTCCATAGGCAGAACAGCCCTGAGGGCTGCTGGTTGCCCATTTTTATGGTTATTTCTTGATGATATGCTAAACAAGGGGTGGATTATCTATGTTTCCCCTTTTTAGACCATATAGGGTAACTTCCTGACGTTGCCATGGCATTTGTAAACTGCCATGGCGCTGATGGGAGTGCAGCAGTGAGGACAACCAGAGGTCATTCTTGTCACCATCTTGGTTTTGGTGGGTTTGGGCTGGCTCCTTTACTGCAACCTGTTTTATCAGCAAGGTCTTTATGATAACCTGTATCTTGTGCCCACCTTCTATCTCAACCTGTGACTTAGAATGCCTTAACCGTCTGGGAATGCAGCCCAGTAGGTCTCAGCCTCATTTTACCCAGCCCCACTCGAGATGGAGTTGCTCTGGTTTACACAGCTCTGACACTTTGGGAGGCAGAGGCAGAAGGATCGCTTGAGACCAGGAGTTTGAGACCAACTTGGGCAACATATAGAGACCTCGTCTCTATAAAAAATTTTAAAAACTAGCCTGGTTTGGTGGCACACACCTGTGGTCTCAGCTACGTGGGAGGCTGAGGCGGGAGGATTATATAAGCCCAGGAGTTCGTGACCAGTTTGACCAACATAGTAAGAACATTTTACAAAAAATGAACAAAATTAGCCGGGCATGATGGCACTTGCCTGCAGTCCCAGCTACTTGGGAGGCCGAGGTGGGAGGATTGCTTGAGCCTCGGAGGTCGAGGCTTTAGTGAGCCGTGACAGCTGCTACTGCATTCCAGCCTGGGCGATAGAGTGAGACCCTGGCTTAAAAAATTAAAATTTAAATTAAAAAAAAAAAGCTATGCTACTAGAGGGGAATGTTGAACCCAATTAGGATCTCAGAAGGATTTCAGTGAAACCGCGAGAACTTTCCTGGGCAGGGTGGGGCTTTCTCCACCTGGGATTTTCCCAAACCTCTTTGTCACCATTCATTACCAGGAGCAGCTTGACACCCTCTGGTTCCTCTACCCTCGGGAAATGAACCTCCTAGTTTCACCCTCTAAATGTCCCTCTCCGGCTTCCTGCAGTCCTTACCCATCGGCTTGTATCTCAGTTTCAAAGCGGAGGGAGAGGACGGTGGAGAGTGGGAAGACCCTACGAAGCTCCCCGGGAGCTGTACCTTTAAGGGCAGGGGCGGGGCGAGCCCCGAGGGGGCGTGTCCTGAGGGCGTGGCCGAGACCGGGGCGGGGCGAGCCGGGGCGGGCCCGGACGGGAAGAGTAGGGGCCCGGACGCTGCAGCAGGCGGGGCACCCGGACTGGCGGCTTCGCTGGCGCAAGGTCGGTCCGGCGGCCAGGGACCTGGAAGGCTGCGAGGCCCTGCGAGGTCGAGGTTCGGAGTTTGCTGGTCCCAGGCCCGGCCCGAGGTAAGAAAGAGCCGCCTCCCCGCACGGCCGGAGGACCCGGGCGCCCCGAGTTCGACTTCTCAGCCTCCGTCCGGACGGGAAACGGAGCACGGAGATGTTCCTGAGGTCTCTTTCCTGGGAAGCGCAGCCCCGATTTCCCGCCCCTGTCCCTTAGCAGGTCGGCGACCATCCGAGCGCTGGGCATCGGCCCACGCGTACAGAAGGCGCTCAATAAATGCTCACTAGTGAATCAGTAAAATAAATCGGCAGCAAAGAGAGACGAGACGCATGCTGATCTTCAGGTGTTGGGGACATCAGGGACGCGAACATTTATTGAGCTCTTATTGTATACCGCGTCGGCCAGCATTTGTGTCCATTTCACACATGAGGAATAAGAGGCCCAGAGAGGTGAAGTGACTTCCTTAAGGCCACACAGATAGTAAGTGGCCGAGACGAATTTGAAACCAGGGGTGTCCTGTTTGAACTTGGTGCCAAATAGAGTAACTCGGACTCCAGTTGGAGGGGTTCGGGAGAACCATAGAAGAGGAAGGGCCGTGTCTTCCGTGGACAGGTAAGGAACCTGGCTGGGACAGGCGCCTTTCTGACCTCTCTTCCCCTCCCTACCTCCTCTCCCTCCCCTCAGGCTGCCAGTACATTGAGAAACACCTGCGCAGACTTAAAGAAAAAAACGTTTTTATGGGGTTTGGTTTCCTGATTGCAAAAATAAGACATACTCATCGTAGAACACATGAAAAAGCCAAAACAGGAAATTTAGTTTGCTGAGGACTTTTGTTTTTCCAGTTTAATTCCTTTGAAATATATTGAAGCCATTTTGGCCCTGGTCTTGAGGGAAGAGGCACATGGTGGTGACCAGCCCGGCCCCACTGCTAACCCGCGGTCTTTGAGCAACTCAACTTCCTTCTTGCCCTTAAGTTCCCTGTCGGAGGGGCTGTGGGCTCTGTGACCCTCTTGCTGTGTGACCTTGGGCAGGTTCTGGAATTCCTCTGCTGGGTGTGGTGGCTCACGCCTGTAGTCCCAGCACTTTGAGAGGTCAAGGCCGGCAGATCACTTGAGGCTAGGAGTTCCAGACCAGCCTGGCCAACATGGCGAAACCCCGTCTCCGTTAAAAATACAAAAATTAGCTGGGCATGGTGGTGTGTGCCTGTAATCCCAGCTACTCGGGAGGCTGAGGCAGGAGAATCACTTGAACCCGGGAGGCAGAGGTTGCAGTGAGCTGAGATCGCGCCACTGCACTCCAGCTTGGGTAACAGAGTGAGACTCCATCTGAAGAAACAAACAAAAAACAAAAAACACTCCTCTGAGCCCCTCTCCCTGCTGTGCAGGGTGGGGTGGGGGGCGGGGGGGTGACATTTCCAGAATTGTTCTGAGGACTGCATGAGGGAGGCGTGATGCAGGGGGGAAACAAGCCTGGCTTCACCTGTCTGTGCCTCAGTTAGTTCATCTGTAAAATGGAATGCTAGTGCTACCCCCGCTCGGCATGTCGTGAGGATAGAATGAGGTCATCCATGTAAAGCTTGGCTCCTTGTAAGACACAGAACAACAGCATTGCTTAGTGGGCTCTGTAAAATGTGGTGGGCAAGCCTCTCTACGTCTCAAACTGGTGGCCCAGAGGCCAAGTCCACCCCTAGAAGTAGAGTTTGTTTTGTTTTGTTTTGAGGGCTTCTGCAATCCCGCCCACTGCCCACTTCCCACATGTATCTCACCCACCTGCCCCAGAAGCCTGAGACTCTGAATCTTGGCTCAAGTCCCAAGTCCCTTGCAGCCCTGGCATTCTGGCCTCAGGCTGGGGGCCAGGTGGGACTGGGTAGGTTTTCATGGGTTCTCAGGAAGAAGGGCGTATCTGATCTGCACGCTGAATGGGCAGGGCCTTGGGCCCCTCCAGCGAGACTGTGCAGAACATGGTTTCTCCGTCAGCTTAACTTTGCTGCCGGGAGGCAGGAAGGCAGTTCCTTAACTAGAGTCTTCCAGCCCCTTTTGCTGTGTCCATGGGTTTTCAGTAATGTTGTCCCCCTTTCTCACTCCCACCTTGCAGGCCACCGGAGCCGCCAGCTGTTTGGAACTGAGCTACTGCAGAAAGGGAAGTGGAGAGTAAGGGCCAGGCCCCGTGGGGGCAGATGGCCGGCAGAAGGCTGAATCTGCGCTGGGCACTGAGTGTGCTTTGTGTGCTGCTAATGGCGGAGACAGTGTCTGGGACTAGGGGCTCGTCTACAGGAGCTCACATTAGCCCCCAGTTTCCAGCTTCAGGTGTGAACCAGACCCCCGTGGTAGACGTGAGTATCCCGGTAGGAACCTGGGGTTGAGTGGGGCTGTGTTCCTCCAATCGATAAATATCTATTGAGCATCTACTATGTGCCAGGCACTGACCGCAGCCTGGGATATACCGGGGAACAATAGAGACAAAATTCACTACTCTCAAGAAGCTGACAGTCTCCTGAACAGACAGATCAAGAAGTAAACTTATACACTTTGGGAGGCCAAGGCAGGAGGATCACTTGAGGCCAGGAGCTGGAGACCAGCCTGGCCATCGTGTCAAAACCCCGTATCTACTAAAAATACAAAAATTAGCTGGGCATGGTGGCAGGTGCCTGTAATCATCAGAACCCTGAGGCAGGAGAATTGCTTGAAACCGTGAGGTGGATGTTGCAGTGAGCCAGGATTGTACCACTGCACTCCAGCCTGGGCGGCGAAGCAAGACTCTGTCTCAACAACAAAAAAAAGAGAAGTAAGCATATACATTTCAGGTGGCGATGTGCTAAGTGCCCCGCACACAATAGCTAAAGTGGTATGGGGGAGGGCGTGAGCTTTTCCAACTATTTCAGATTGGGTGGTCACAGATGGCTTCTGTGAGGGGGTGATATTTGAGGCAAGCCAGCGAATGGAGAGAGGAAACCACCTACATTGACACCCCGGGGAAGAGCATTCTGGGCAAAGGGAACAGCAAGTACAAAGATTCTGGAGCAGGAACAAGCTTAGTGTGTTCCCGTAACAGCAGGGAGGCTAGAATGGATGGAACAGAGCAAGTGAGGGGAAGAATGCTAAGAGAGGAGGATGGAGAGGTAATGGCGGGCAGATTACAAAAGGCCTTACAGGCTGCGGCTAGGAGGTGAGAATTGTTTTGCGATAGTGGGGAGCCAATGGAAGGTTTTAAGCAGAGGGTCCCAAAATCTGTGTTAGTCGGAGTTCTCTAGTGGGACAGAACTAATAGGATAGATGTATATGTAAAGGGGAGTTTTTAAAGGAATATTGACTCACATGATCACAGGTGAGGTCCCGCAATAGGTCATCTGCAAGCTGAAGAGCGAGGAGGTCAGTCTGAGTCCCAAAACCTCAAAAGCAGGGAAGCTGACAGTGCAGCCTTTAGTCTGTGGCTGAAGGTCCAAGAGTCCCAAAGCTGAAGAACTTGGAGTCTGATGTTTGAGGGCAGGAAGCATCCAGCATGGGAGAAAGATGCAGGCCAGAAGACCAAGCCAGTCTAGTCTTTCCACATTCTTCTGCCTGCTTTTATTCTGGCTGTGCTGGTAGCTGATTAGATTGCACCCACCCAGATTGAGGGTGGGTCTGCTTTTCCCAGTCCACTGACTCAATTTTTTTTTTTTTTTTTTTTTTCGAGAACAGTCTCACTCTATACCCAGGCTGGAGTGCAATGGCACGATCTCAGCTCACTGCAACCTCCACCTCCCGGGTTCAAGCGATTCTTATGCACAGCCTCCCGAGTAGTTGGGATTACAGGTGCACACCACCACACCTGGCTAATTTTTTTGTATTTTTAGTAGAAACAGGGTTTCACCATGTTGGCCAGGCTGGTATTGAACTCCCACCCTCTCTCTTTCTCCCAGTGGTGGGAGAAAGAGAGGAGTTGTGGATGGCTCCAGGTTCCTGGCCTGATCAGCTGAGGGTGTGCTGGTGCTGTGATTTGAATGGGGAGCACTGAGGGAGGACCAATGACGACGCTGGAGTTAGAGGCAAGAGGCCTTCCTCCCAGGGCAGGGAGGGCACAGCCTGTTGAGACAGGCTACAGAGAACTTGCATCTTTCCGCTCTGATGTCTGTAAGGGGAGAAGAGGAGGTCACAGCAGATCTGGAGTGAAGGAACAAAAGCAGAGGACTGCTCAAGATGACCCCCTGGAGTGCCCTGTAGCTGCCAGGGACTGGAGTTCTCACCATTTCTTCAGCAGGAATCCCAAACTCAAACTGATGGGCTGAGAGCATTCAATGCCCACAGCAACTTTATGAGGCTGCAAAGTGCCTTCAAGTCCACCCTGTGAAACAGGCAACAGGCAATTAAGCCCATTTTACAGATGGGAAAGTGGTTTGTGGTTACTGTGGTTATAAAATTGAGTACCCCCTCTTGGAGCGTGCTCCTTGGGGGCAGGAAAACTGGGAGATCATACCAGATAATTGTGCCAGATAATCTCTCCAAGTTATTGAGCACTTAGATCAGCCTTGTGCCCACAAGTCCTCCCCCAAACCCCGTGAGGTGGGAGTGATTATCTCTGTGCTATAGATGAAGACTCCAAGGTTCAGGGAGGTGAAGGTGGCCAGGAGGAAAGTGGCAGAGCCAGGATGAGAACCCTTGGCTGCTTCATGCTAAATCCATCCCCTTCCCCTCTAGTCCACCGCCTCACAGGACAGATGGGGCAGCTGCCTTTCTGGAAGTCCCCACCATCCAGGGAGCCTGCAGGCTGGGAAAGGCCCCCCCAGCCCCTTACCTTAGGTCCTTTTCAAGTAGTCATTAATGCAACAAATAGTTATTGAGCACCTACTATGTGCCAGGGCCTGTGCCATGTGCTGAGGGGATAGCAGGAAGCAGAGAGCCTGGTCCCTGCCCCCCTGGAGCTTATACTCTAGTGGGGTCATGGATGAGAAGCAAGTTGACAAATCATTCCACAGGGTGAGGGGGAGGGGGGTGCTGCTTTGCTTAGGCTATCATGGAAGGCCTCTCTGAGGACATGACATTTAGACTGAGACCTGAATGGCTTATGAAGATCCAGGGGAAGTGAGGGAACAGTAGATGCAAAGGCCCTGGGGCAGGAGCAGAATGACAGATTTTGCAAAGTGGCTGGAACAGTGAGCAAGGGAGAAGGAAGGGAGACCAGGCAGGAGAGAACAGGGGCCCTGGGGACCACTGTAGACTTGGCTGTCAGTGGGAGGAAGGTGGGAGCCATGGGAGGCTTTAGAGCACAAGAGGATGTGATCTGATGTAAGTTTTTATAAGAATTCCAAGGTATTGAGTTGGTTACCCTTTCCTGTCCAGCCTGACCTCTGTGTGCACCTCTTTGGGTTTCCTGGGACTGAGTTAGTGACATAGGAAAGAGGGTGGGAAGGACTGGAAGGAAGTGAAGTCACTCCTTCCCTCCCCCAGACGCAGAGCAATCCCACCTTACTCTGTCTCTCTTGAGCAGAGAGCTGGGGAGGGGTCCTGAGGGACCTGGGGGAGGGCTGTGCAGCTCGGGGAGGGCAGAGCGAGACAGACTGCACAGTAATGTGATTTTGGAGGCCAGATTTGGGGGACCCACCTTGCTGACTCACTCTGCCATCAGGGAGATGGGGTGACTCCCTGCATCCTCCCTAGCTGACCCCGAGGACAGGGAGGAGGGAGGGCAGGAAGATAGTGAGAGGACAGGAAATGGAGGCTGCCCCTGCCCAGTTGGGCAGTTTCCTCAGGAGCTTCAGCGAGTAACTTTCAGGCGGAGCTGAGTTTGGAGCCACTTCTCAGTGGTGGGCTGTGTGCTCCTGGGCAAGCCACTTTGCCTCTCTGTGCCTCAGTTTTCTCATCTGTGAAGTGGAAACAATTGTGCCAACCTCCTGGGTCTCTGATGAAGACTGAATGGGTGAGATGATGCCCAGCACGGTGTGCAGCACAACTGTTAGGAGGGCCTACTCTGCCAGGCACTGTGCGAGACTTTAGTGGGAGGGGCAGATATTAAGCAAGTCTATGATCCTGCCTGGGTGCGGTGGCTCACACCTGTAATCCCAGCACTTTGGGAGGCCGAGGCAGGTGGATCACTTCAGGCCAGGATTTCGAGACCAGCCTGGCCAACATAGCAAAACCCCATCTCTACTAAAATACAAAAATTACCTGGGCATGGTGGTGGACGTCTGCAATCCCAGCTACTCGGGAGGCTGAGGTAGGAGAATCTCTTGAACCCATGAGATGGAGGTTGCAGTGAGCTGAGATCATACCACTGCCCTCCTGCCTGGGCGATGGAGTAAGACTCCATCTCAAAAAAGGAAAAAAAAAAAAAAAAGTAACTGGGAGGGCCAGCTAGGCTGGGAGTAGTCAGGGAGGGCTTCCTGCAAGAAGTGTCCTGGGAACCAAGAATTGGGTGGTGAATGTGGATTAAATAGAGGAAAAATAATCGTGGCACCAGGCAGAAGGAACAGCATGTACAAAAGCTGGACCAATGCCAGGAGGGTCTGGGCATTCCAGGACCTGACAGCT
Organism: Homo sapiens; assembly: GCF_000001405.40. Taxonomy (NCBI): domain Eukaryota; kingdom Metazoa; phylum Chordata; class Mammalia; order Primates; family Hominidae; genus Homo; species Homo sapiens. Next base: position 113,328,551 of record NC_000012.12, on the reverse strand, counting down.
GACCAGACGAGCTTTACTGGAGACTGACAAGGGCAGAACACAGGGACCAAAAACAGGCAAAGGAGAGCTCTTCAGCAGCTGGAGGAGGGAGCACATTAGAAAGAGCCCCTCTGGTAAGATTGGGGGTAGGAGGCCAGATGAGAACCTCTGCAGTTGTTCTCCGTGCTGGTGGAGATGGAAGGAAGGGATGAATTCAAGTATTGTTTAAGAGAGAAAAATTTCTGGCCAGGCTTGGTGGCCCACCTGTGTAATCCCAGCACGTTGGAAGGCCGAGGCGGGAGGATCACTTGAGCCCAGGAGTTTGAGACTAGCCTGGCCAACAAGGCGAGACCCCTTCTCAACAAAAAATTTAAAAATTAGCCTCGTGTGATGCGCACCTGTGGTGCCAGCTACTCAGGAGGCTGAGGTAGGAGACTGCTTGAGCCTGAGTGGTTGAGGCTGGAGTGAGCTGTGATCACGCCACTGCACTCCAGCCTGGGTGACATAGACAGAACCTGTCTCTAAATAAATAAATAAATAAATAAATAATTAAAACTTAGATGATGATAATGCAACCTTTTTTTTTTTTTTTTGGAGACGTAGTTTCGCTCTTGTTGCCTAGGCTGGAGTGCAATGGTGCAATCTCAGCTCACTGCAACCTCTGCTTCCTGGGTTCAAGCGATTCTCCTGCCTTGGCTTCCCAAGTAGCTGCGATTACAGACATCTGCCACCATGCCCGGCTTTTTGTATTTTTAGTAGAGATGGTTTCACCATGTTGGTCAGGCTGGGCTCGAACTCCTGACCTCAGGTGATCCACCTGCCTTGGCCTCCCAAAGTGCTGGGATTACAGGTGTGACCCACCGCGCCCAGCCTATTTTTTTTTTTTTTTTTGAGACAGAGTCTCACTCTGTTGCCCAGCCTAGAGTGCAATGGTGTGATCTTGGCTCACTGCAACCTCCGCCTCCCGGGTTCAAGTTATTCTGCCTCAGCCTCCTGAGTAGCTGGGAACACAGGCACACGCCACCGTGCCTGGCTAATTTTTATATTTTTAGTGGAGATGGAGTTTCACCATGTTGGCCAGGCTGGTCTCAAACTCATGGGCTCAGGCACTGGGATTACAGATGTGAGCCACAATGCCTGGCCTCCATGTCCTTATCCCATTCCTGTCTAGGCTTGTGGGTGTTATTGCCCCCATTGTTCAGAGGAGAACACTGAGGTTAATTTACTTGCCCAAAATCACTCACCTAGAAGGACGCAAATTAGAATTTCAACCAGGCAGTTTCATGAGAGAGGAGGGCTCAGTAGAGGGAGCTGTACTGCCTCCCAATATGATTATTATTGTTCCTCCCAGAGGAGGAAATGGCAGCCCGCCTGCTTCCCTGGCCCCCATCTAGTGTCCTTCCTCCTTGTGCTGGGTGGGACCCTCTTTGTCAGAAACCCCTTGGGTGACTTTATCTCCCTGGGAAATTCCTGGGCCCCAGCAAAGCCACAGGCCCAGGCTTAGGGCAAGACTGAAACCCTCCCCCTCCCAGTATGGAAGGAGCCCAGCCTGACTGTTGCTTTTGGGTGGGAGCTGGGGATGGGATAAGGGAAGCTCAGGACAGAAACTTGAGACTTGCATCTGCATGTTTTGGTGGGAATAGTTGATGGAGATTCCCAAGCCTGGGTTGGGATGTGCACACCATCACTCCAGCCTGGGGCACAGACTTTCTGTAAAGAGCCAGATAGTAGGGCCGGGTTGTGGGCTCACATTTGTAGCTCCAGCCACTTGGGAGGTTGAAGTCGGGGGAATTCCTTAAGCCTAAGAGTTTGAGGCTGCAGTGAGCTATAATCATGCTTCTGCACTCCAGCCTGGGCAACAGTGAGACCTTGTCTCAAAAAAAAAAAAAGAGAGAGAAAGAAAAGAGGCCAGTCACAGTGCTCACACCTGTAATCCCAGCACTTTGGGAGGCGGAGGCTGGTGGATCACTTGAGGCCAGGAGTTTGAGACTAGCCTGGCCAACATGGTGAAACCCCATCTCTACTAAAAATAAAAAAATCAGCCAGGCGTGGTGGCACATATCTGTGATCCCAGCTCCTCCAGAGGCTGAGGCAGGATAATAATTTGAACCCAGGAGGCAAAGGTTGCAGTGAGCTGAGATCTCACCACTGTACTTCAGCCTGGGCAACAGAGTAAGACTCCGTCTCAAAATAAATAAGTAAATAAAAAAGAAAAAAGAAAAGAAAGAAAGAATAGAATAAGAGCTAGACAGTAAATATTTTCAGCTTTGTGGGCTACATGGTTTCTACAACTACTCACTGCTCTCACAGTGCCTGAGTAGCCACAGATTGTACATCAACGAATGGGTGTGGCTGTGCCCCAGTAAATATTTATGGAAATGGAAACTTGAGTTTTATATAATTTTACATGTCATGGAAAATTCTTCTTTTGATTTATGTCTCCCAACCATTTAAAAATGTAAGAATCATTCTTGGCTTGCAGGCTGTGCATAACCAGATGGTGGGCTGGATGTGGTCCAGGGGCCGAAGTTTGCTGACCCTTGGCTTACCCATATGTTAAAGGGGAATCATTCCATTTGCCTCGCAGGAGTGTTGGAAAGGCTACACAAAATCACTTAGTCATTCAAGCAGCCATTAACACAAATGTATTAAGCCCCTACTACAGGCCAGGCTCAGGGCAAATACAAGAATGCAGACAAAAAAAATTCAGGGCTGGGCGCGGTGGCTCACGCCTGTAATCCCAGCACTTTGGGAGGCCGAGGCGGGTGGATCACAAGGTCAGGAGATCGAGATCATCCTGGCTAACACGGTGAAACCCATCTCTACTAAAAATACAAAAAATTAGCTGGGCGTGGTGGCGAGCGCCTGTAGTCCCAGCTACTCGGGAGGCTGAGGCAGGAGAATGGTGTGAACCTGGGAGGCGGAACTTGCCGTGAGCCGAGATAGCGCCACTGCAGTCTGGCCTGGGCGAAAGAGCGAGACTCCGTCTCAAAAAAAAAAAAAAAAATTAAGGCCAGGTTTGGTGGTTCACGCCTATAATCCCAGCACAATGGGAGGCTGAGGTGGGAGGATGGCTTGAGGCCAGGAGTTGAAGACCAGCCTAGGCAACATAGCAAGACCTCCATCTCTACAAAAAATAATTTTTAAAAAAATTAACTGGGTGTGGTGGTGCATGCCTGTAGTCCCAGCTACTTGGGAGGCAAAGGCAGGAGGATCACATGCGCCCAGGAGTTCGAGGCTGAAGTGAGCCATGATTGCCCCACTGCACTCCAGCCTGAGTGACAAAGCACCTGGTCTCTAAAATAATAAAATTCAGTAAACAAGGAAATGAACAAAATAAAGATTGTGATAACTGCTGTGAATGCAGAAAACTGGGTATTAATAGTGGAGATAGGGGTAATAACTACTTTACATGGAAAGTCTCTGAGGAGGGCAAATTTGAACACCTGTAATCTCATTTGATTCTTTTATCAATGGGGTTGGTATAATTAGTCCCATTTTACAAATGAGACTGAAGCTCAAAGAGAGGAAGGGAATTGCTACAGATACAGCTCTTAGATGGTAGAGCTGGTTGGGCATGGAGGCTCACACCTGTAATCCCAGTACTTTGGGAGGCTGAAGTAGGTGGATCACTTGAGGTCAGGAGTTCAAGACCAGCCTGGCCAACACAGTGAAACCTCATCTTTACCAAAAATACAAAAATTAGCCAGGTGTGGTGTTGTGTGCATGTAGTTCCAGCTACTCAGGTGGCTGAGGCAGGAGAATCACTTGAACCCAGGAGGTGGAGGTTGCAGTGAGCCAAGATTGCTCTACTGCACTCCAGCCTAGGCGACAGAGTGAGACTCTGTCTCAAAGGAAAAAAAAGGGGCTGGGCGCAGTGGCTCACACCTGTAATCCTAGCACTCTGGGAGGCCAAGGCAGGTAGATCACTTGAGGTCAGAAGTTTGAGACCAGCCTGGCCAACGTGGTGAAACCCCATTTCTACTAAAAATACAAAACTTAGCCGGGCGTGTCGGTGGGCACCTGTAGTCCCAGCTACTCGGGAGGCTGAGGCAGGAGAATCAGTTGAACCCGAGAGGTGGAGGTTTCAGTGAGCCGAGATTGTGCTATTGTACTCCAGCCTGGGTGACAGAGGGAGACTCTGTCTCCAAAAAAAAAAAAAAAAAAAAAGGTAGAGCTGAGTGGCTGAGTGGGTATTATGCTCAGGTTGTCCTGATCTCAAAAAAAGAAAAGTTTTTTTTTTTGTTTGTTTGTTTTTTTTTGAGACAGGCTTGCTCTGTCACCCAGGCTGGAGAGCAGTGGTGCCATCATAGCTCACTGCAGCCTCAACCTCCCAGACTCAAGCAATCCTCTCACCTCAGCCTCTGAAGTAGCTGGAACCACAGGCGTGTGCCACCATGCCTGGCTCATTTTTAAATTTTTTTGTAGCAATGGGGTCTTACTATGTTACCCAAGTTGGTCTCAAACTCCTGGGCTTAAGCGATCCTCCTGCCTCAGCCTCCCAAAGTGTTGGGATTACAGGTGTGAGCCAGTTTACCTGGCCACAGATTTCATCTTCCCAGCTGGCATGTGCTTTCTGAGGACAGGACACTGTAGAAAGATTGAGGGGTTGGGGCAGGGCTGGGGGTTTCAGTCTCTGCTCAGGGGATACTGTATGGGTGGGTAGAGCTCTTAGCAAAAATTGGTGAGAAGGCCAGAGGCTCAGAGATAAGAAATCTCACTTCCAGTCTGGTGTTAGTGGGAGTTCAGAGAGGGCTTGTGGAGGAGGTGGAACTGTGGTTTGACAAAGCTTTTAAAAAATTATAATGAAATACACATAACCTAAAATTTACTGTCTTAGCTTTTTTTGTTGTTGTTTTTTTTTGAGATGGAGTCTCACTTTGTCACCCAGGCTGGAGTGCAGTGGTATGATCTTGGCTCACTGCAACCTCTGCCTCCTGGGTTCAAGCGATTCTCCTGCTTCAGCCTCCTGAGTAGCTGGGACTACAGGTGGATGTCACCACGCCTGGCTCATTTTTGTATTTTTAGTAGAGACGGGGTTTCCCCATGTTGACCAGGCTGGTCATGAACTCCTGACCTCAAGTGATCCGCCTACCTCGGCCTCCCAACGTGCTGGGATTACAGGCATGAGCCACCACACCTGGCCAGACTTGCAGTTTAACAATGACATTCCTATCACATTGATCTGAATAAGGCTGCTCATAGCCAATGTGGGTGCAGGCTTATGAGAATTGCTTATTTCCCATTCCTGGTGGGAGTGTATGTAGGTAGAGCTTGGCCAGGGCATTTTGGCAAAATCTAGCAATGTTGAAGATCCCTTGTCAGGGCCTTGAGCATTTCTTTTGGACTGTACTATTTTGGTGGGCTTTTGTTGACTTCCAGTTGCCAGTTTATTGTTCTAGAACCACTTATAAGCATAGTAGGCTAGAGGTGCTGGGGAACTAAAACCTCCATCTAGCAGTCCTCACCCAATGGCTGATGAGAGTTGGTGTATAAATATCCCAGCTCCCTTGCCTCCTGATTAAGCTCATGGTGGTGGTAACTGGCTCAACCCAGCCTTCGTTGGCAGCTATCCCTTCTCTGTACCACTTCTTTTCTCCTATTTCTTTTATTTTTTTCTTTTGAGACAGGGTCTCACTCTGTCACCCAGGCTGGACTGCAGTGGTACAATCATAGCTCTCTGCAACCTTGAACTTCCAGGCTCAGGTGCTCCTCCCACCTCCTCCTCCTGAGTAGTTGGGACTACAGGCGTATGCCACCAAGCCCGGCTAGTTTTTTTTGTATTTTTTGTAGAGATGGAGTTTTGTCATGTTGCCCAGGCTGGTCTCGAACTCCTGAGGTCAAGTGATCCTGCAGCCTTGGCCTCCCAAAATGCTACAGTTACAGGCGTGAGCCACCACACCCGGGCCCACTTCCCTTTCTCTATGTTTGTGTTCCTCAGGTCTCCCAAACATACTATGTCCATCTCAATCTTTGTCTCTGAGTCAGCTTCTGGAGGAACCCAGACCAGGATACCCTCTGATTCAGCACTTTCTCTTCTCAAATCTTCTCTGACAACATTTTTCTCATATGTGCTCAGAGAGTCATGTGTGAGGAAGCTCATTGGCTATATTGAAAAACTAGGCATACCCAAATGCCCAGTAGGGAAATGTTTACCTCAGTGATGTATCACCCATAGTATGAAATACTCTGCTGCAGTGAAAGACTCTGTGGGGAGGCAGGGGAGAACAGTGGGCCCTAGAGCCTAAAACTGCCTGGGTTCCAACCTTGACCCTCCCACTGAGTGCACACGGACATTGTCTCAGTCTCCTTAACTGTTTAATGGGCATGATAATAGTTCCTTCCTCGCAGACTGTTGTGCAGAGTAATTGAGATACATATTTTTTTTTTTTGAGACAAGATCTCATTCTATTCCCCAAGCTAAATGCAGTATTGCAGCCTCAACCTCCTGGGCTCAGGTGATCCTCCCACCTCAGTCTCCTGAGTAGCTGGGACTACAAGTGCACATCACCATGCCTACCTAATTTTTTATTTTATTTTTTTGCAGAGATGGGGTCTTGCTATGTTGTCCAGGCTGGTCTTGAAATCCTGGGTTCAAGCAATCCTCCCACCTCAACCTCCCAAAGTGCTGGGATTATAGGCATGAGCCACTGCCCCCAGCCATCATAGAATTATTGTACAGATTAATTGAGATACATTTTAAGCTCTTAGCACTATGCTTTGCATATAGAAATCACTATAGTATGTTTCAAATTCTGTATATTAAGGTATATTAATATATATATATATATAATGGTAAAAGCAAATTATAGAAACAAGAGATTTGGGATGGATCCATTTCTGTTAAACAAAACAAAGTGTGTAATAGGATATATATACAAATATAATTGATCTGAGAAATGTCTGTAAGGATGTGCTTCAAACTAATTATGGTGGGACCACTGGAGAGGGGGATTTACGGAGGGCAGGGATAAGAAAGCGGAATTTAGAAATCTTATGTATTGGTTTTTTTAAAAAACAAATATGTATTCATGAATTACTTATGTCAATTTCAAGCAGACGTTTATTTTTAAAATTAAAAGTGCATCCATAGTTGGCACCCAGAGGGTATGGTGGCCTTGGAGACCAGGCTGAAGGGACATTATGTTTAGCTGCTTAGATGGGCCTAGTCTAGTTCTCAGGGAAGTCTCTGCCGCTGATGTCCCCCTCCCTGTCTTCCTGCAGTGCCGCAAGGTGTGTGGCCTGAATGTCTCTGACCGCTGTGACTTCATCCGGACCAACCCTGACTGCCACAGTGATGGGGGGTACCTGGACTACCTGGAAGGCATCTTCTGCCACTTCCCTCCCAGCCTCCTCCCTCTGGCTGTCACTCTCTACGTGAGGCCCTGCCCTGGGGGGCTGGTGAGAGGGGCTGGTGTCTCCAGCTGGACTTGACTCTCCCTTCCTCGCCCGCTCCCCACCCAGGTTTCCTGGCTGCTCTACCTGTTTCTGATTCTGGGAGTCACCGCAGCCAAGTTGTGAGTTTGGCTCTGGGCTCCGGTCTGGCTTATCAATGGGAGGAGGGGTCCCAGGAGGCTGACATTCGGTCACCCTCAGTTTGGGGGAAGGATAGGGGTCCGGGGCCGGTTACTACGGAAATGCTTCCCGTCCGCTTTTTCTCCGTAGTTTCTGCCCCAACTTGTCGGCCATTTCTACCACACTGAAGCTCTCCCACAACGTGGCAGTATCCTTTTGTCCAGTGTCCTGCACCCTGGAGGGAGGGCAGTTGTGGGGAGGCTGGGAGATAGGGTCATGTCTATCCCCGTGTGGGGAAGCTGGGGGATAGGGTCGAAGGCCTGGGTGGGCTGCAGCTGCGATCCTGGCCCGCCTTGACATGCTCCCCACATGGCGTCACCTTCCTGGCATTTGGGAATGGTGCACCTGACATCTTCAGTGCCCTGGTGGCCTTCTCTGACCCGCACACAGCCGGCCTGGCCCTTGGGGCACTGTTTGGTGAGAGCAGCCCCAGTGAGGGGGGCGGGGAAAGCAGCAGGAGAGGGTGCAGGGTGGCTGAGCTCTGGCCTCCTCCCCCCAGGCGCTGGCGTGCTGGTTACCACAGTGGTGGCCGGAGGCATTACCATCCTACACCCCTTCATGGCTGCCTCCAGGCCCTTCTTCAGGGACATCGTTTTCTACATGGTGGCTGTGTTCCTGACCTTCCTCATGCTCTTCCGTGGCAGGGTCACCCTGGCATGGGCTCTGGGTGAGCAGCTCTGGGGCTCAGGCGTGAGATCCCAGGGCTGATGGGCAGGAGGTTTAGGAGGTGCCTGGGACAGAGAGGTGTGAGGGGTGGTCAGTGGGGGCTTTGATTTGATTACAAGTGACAGAAACCCTCCTCAAGCTGGCTTGAGCAAAAATGGGAACATGTGGGTCACATAACCAAAGAGGCCTGGCAGAGCTGGGGGCTGGGGAGGGAGTATTCAAAAGTGTCACAATTTTTTGGCCAAGCGTGATGGCTCACACCTATCATCCCAGCAATTTGAGAGGCTGAGGCAGGAGGATCACTTTGGTTCAGGAGTTTGAGACCAGCCTGGGCAACATAGCGAGACTACATCTCTACAAAAAAGAAAAAACTTAGCTGGGCATGGTGGTGGTGCATTCCTGTGGCCCCAGCTACTCTGGAAGCTACGGCAGGAGGATCCCTTGAGCCTAGGAGTTCGAGACTGCAGTGACCCATGATTGTGCCATGGCACTCCAGCCTGGGCAACAGAGCAAGACTCTGTCTCAAAAAAAAGAAAGTTTCATAATTTCCAATTTTAACAAGCAGTAAAGATGGGACGCTAACTGGGGCCACCCGGATCGTGACAGCAAACATGTTCCATTCAGACGGCTCAAGGGGTATGAATGGAGGGACAATTTGTACAGAAGGAAAATGAAACCAGCAAGGGAAACCGAGATTCGAGATACTCAGGGGCCAGCAACAATGGGAGCTGCGAACGCACTCATCCCTCGTGGCAGCAGGGGCAGGGAAGGGGGTGGTGGAGCCCAGTGAGAGTTGGAGGGCTGGAGGCCTGGAGCTATACTGAAGAGGGTTGCAAGCCCTGCCAGAGACACGCAACAGGGAGGGAGTAGGAAGAAAGACTCCAGAGTCTCTCCCGCTGCTTCTGATTTCCTGTCTGGCCTCCCATTGGCTGAACCTAGCTGTAGCCAGAGCTACAGGGCTGCCTCCTCCCAGGGCACAGAGCAGGACACCGACCCTTAGTACTTGAATGGGGACCTGGAGGTCTCTCGCTGTGCTTGGGTATTACCTCCTTGATTGCAAGGGAGACAGGAAGGGAGATGGTCCTGGAAGGCAGGAGGAAGGAGTGGGGAGCTCAAGGAAAAGGCCATTTACCCACTGGTACCTGGATGGGCTAACACAGATTGCCACCGCTAACACGCACCACTGATAGAACTGCCAGCTGTTGTTCTCTAGACCTGCACCAGGACACCACTTGGTGACGGCGTGCACCCCGTCTGCAGGTTACCTGGGCTTGTATGTGTTCTATGTGGTCACTGTGATTCTCTGCACCTGGATCTACCAACGGCAACGGAGAGGATCTCTGTTCTGCCCCATGCCAGTTACTCCAGGTAAGAGTCTGCATCGGACCCCAGAGAGGACCAGTGGGGACTGGGGGCCTCTGTGCCCTTCAGTGCTGCCCAGGGTCTCCTGAGGCCATTGTCCCCACCAAGCTCATCTCCTCTTCATGCTCTTTCTACTCATTCTGCTGAGGTCCCGCCTCCGTGCTTCCACTGGTACCCATGAGCCTCTGCATCACCTGCAGGCTCAAGTGCACTCCTTCCTTCTCTCTATGCAGTTGCCAGGGCCATCTCTCTAAGAATCGCCACTGCTCCCTGCCCTGATGTTTCCCACCATTCTCAGGGTAAAACACAAACGCTGCCGTGACAGGGACACTGAGAAATAAAAAATAAATACAAAGAAATCAATAATATTCAAATACAGTCATATACACAAATACATGCACACAACACACATACACAAATACACAACTCACACATATACAAATACATGCACACATACACATACATGCACACACACAACTCACACATGTACATGCACACAAATACATGCACACATACAACACATACACATACGTGTATACACACAACACACATACAAATATATGCACACACACAAATACATGCACACATATACAACACACACAACACACATAGGAGTACATGCACACACATGCAACATATATACAGATGCATGCATGCGCACATACACAAATACATGCTCACACACATGCAACACAAATACATGCACACACAACACAAATACACAACACACACACAAATGTGTACATACAACACATATATGAATACATGCACATACATGTGCAACACATACATGCATACACATCTGCAACACAAAACATGCATGCACACATATACAACATACACAGATACACAACACACTTATACAAACATGCGCACACATACAACAGACACAAATATATGCACACATGCAACACATACAGATGCATGCACATGCATACAAATATGTGCACACACATGCAACACACATAAATACATGCTCACACAACACACAAATGTGTATAGACACAGGATACACCTGCAACAGAGATACATGCACACACATGCAACATACACATACATGCATGCCATACACAACACAAAAACATCAATGCACACAAACATGCAGCATACACATACACAAATTCATGCACTCACATACACAATACACACAAATACATGCACACACACAAATACACTCACATACACAACACACATACAAATACATGCACACACACATAAACAAATACATGCACATACATAGATAACACACACAACACACTCAGCAGCAGAATCAGGGCGAGAGCTAACTCCTCACTCGAGGAGGGCCATTTTCCTTTCAGGCCCCTCCATACAGGTCCCAGGCCTCTCAGCATCCACAGGCCTCCTGAGAAGAGAAAAATAGTATGGGTTCCAGATTCTGAAAAGGACAACACTGAAGTCAATAAATGTTTGAGTTGTGCCTTCAGATGCCCCTATTAACTTTAGCATTATAGCTGCATGCTTACATTTGGCCATGTTTGGTGAATTAGACTTTCACTGTGTAAGAATCCCTGAGCACGCATGCAGACTGCTAGAAATCCAAAATAAAGACAGCCTGGACGTGGCCGGGCGCAGTGGCTCATGCCTGTAATGCCATCACTTTGGGAAGCTGAGGCGGGTGGACTGCTGAGGCCAGGAGTTTGAGACCAGCCAGGCCAACATAGCAAGACCCCATCTCTAAAATTTTTAAAAATTAGCTGGGCATAGTCTCAGCTACTCGGGAGGGAGGGAGGTTGAGGTGGGAGGATTGAGTGAGCCCAGGAGGTCTAGGCTGCAGTGAGCTGTGATCACACCTCTGCACTCCAGCCTGGGTGACAGAGAAAGATCCTGTCCCAAATAACTAAGTAAATAAGATGGCCTGAACACTTGCACCCCTAAACCTGCTCTGTCCCAGTGTGCCCCCTCGAAAATGGTCTGGGTTCTGTATGTAACTGGGCCTCTCTCCTGCAGAGATCCTCTCAGACTCCGAGGAGGACCGGGTATCTTCTAATACCAACAGCTATGACTACGGTGAGTCCGTGCCCTGTGCCCAGCCAGGGTGGCGGTAACAGGGAAAGGCTGGGGGTGGAAAGATGGGGCCCTCCAAGACCTGGGCTCCAGGAATGAGGCTCCAAATCGGCCCCACCTCTCACTGCAGCTCAGGTGAGCCAAGGGCCAGGGTTGTCTGCCCTCTGCCGAGTACTGGGCTTTGTCTCCTCCTTTAGGGCTGGGAGGACTGGTGGGATGGAGCGGGGAAGGTTTCCTGGAGAGCAAGTCAGCCGCAGGCACACCTCACCACCCGACCCCTGCACACAGGTGATGAGTACCGGCCGCTGTTCTTCTACCAGGAGACCACGGCTCAGATCCTGGTCCGGGCCCTCAATCCCCTGGATTACATGAAGTGGAGAAGGAAATCAGCATACTGGAAAGCCCTCAAGGTGTTCAAGGTAGGAGGGTCCTGGAGCCAGGCTCACAGCCTTCTGACAGCAGCAAGACAGTGGCCACGCTACCCTCTCCAGCTCTACGAGGGGGAGGGCCTGGGGTCCACTGAGACCCTCTCAGAATACATGACTTGTGATTTGATGGGGAAACTGAGGCGTGGAGCTTGGCTGATGGCTTGACCTGGGGCTCTGCCCTCTAGTGGCCCCTAAAGACATCCATATCCTAACCCCTGGAACCTGGGAGTATGTTACCTTTATGGTAGAAGGGCCTTTGCAGATGTGATTAAAGATCTTTTTTTTTTTTTTGAGACAGAGTTTCGCTCTATTGCCCAGGCTGGAGTGTGCAGTGGCGCGGTCTCGGCTCACTGCAAGCTCCACCTCCCGGGTTCACGCCATTCTCCTGCCTCAGCCTCCTGAGTAGCTGGGACTATAGGCGCCCGCCACCACGCCTGGCTAATTTTTTGTATTTTTAGTAGAGACGGGGTTTCACCGTGTTAGCCAGGATGGTCTCAATCTCCTGACCTCGTGATCCGCCCGCCTCGGCCTCCTAAAGTGCTGGGATTACAGGCGTGAGCCACCGCATCCAGCCATCATTAAAGATCTGAGATGAGCCTGGCTTATCCAGTGGGCCCAGTGTCATCACAGGGGTTGGCACAAGGAAAGAGGGAGGCAGGAGGGTCAGAGTCAGAGACTGAGAAGTGGCGACAGGAGCACAGGGTGGAATGATGTGGGGCCTGGAAGGCAGGTGGCTCCTGGAAGCTGGAAGGACCCTCAGTCTCCCCTAGAGCTTCCAGAAGGAACAACCCTGCTGACAACTTGACTTCAGGACTTCTGCCCTCCAGAACTGTCCAAGAATACATCTGTGCTATTGACAGTCACTGTTTGTGGTCATTTGTCCCAGTAGCCAGAGGCAACCAGGCACTTAGCCTGGAACCCGCACACAGTCAGTGCTTCAGCAATGAACGGCCGAGCTCTTGAGTCACTGAAGTCCATCTGTGGCCGGCTGGGATTCAGACTTCCCTGCCGACACCCTCCCACTTTTGCCCCCTTGACAGCTGCCTGTGGAGTTCCTGCTGCTCCTCACAGTCCCCGTCGTGGACCCGGACAAGGATGACCAGAACTGGAAACGGCCCCTCAACTGTCTGCATCTGGTTATCAGCCCCCTGGTTGTGGTCCTGACCCTGCAGTCGGGGACCTGTGAGTATCCCCTACCCCGGGCCAACCCACCTTCCTACTCCTTCCCACGTTCTGGAGTTTTCTTCCACCCAGGCTGGAGTACAGTGGCACGATCTCAGCTCACTGCAACCTCCCTCCACCTCTCGGGTTCAAGCAATCATCCCATCTAAGCCCCCTGGGCAGCTGGGATTACAGGCGTGCACTACCACGCCCAGCTAATTTTTGTATTTTTCACAGAGACGGGGTTTCACCATGTTGGCCAGGCTGGTCTTAAATTCCTGACCTCAAGTGATCCGCCCATCTTGGCCTTCCAAAGTGCTGGGATTACAGGCGTGAGCCACCGTGCACAGCCAGTGGAGTTTTCTTCTCAACCACGTGAGGGAGGTTTGGGCTAGAGGCAGAAACCTGGATATACAGCAGGCGCTTACTATGCGCTTGTGCCATAAGGGACACCAGCCTGGAAGTTCACCCAGGGGACCTCCTGCAGTCAGTTGATCCAATCTTGCTGGCCCCAGATGGAGGCTGCAAAACAGGTGACCCCAGGGCCAAATCCAGCCCTCTAGCTTGTTTGCCTGCATTTAAAAATTGGGGGATTTTATCTTAAAATCTGGATTTTGGCTTCTCAAGATCTGGGCCACATTCCTGAAGGCAAAACTGGCTGGAGCAGAGAAGGGGCACCCCCTATGGGGTGCCTGTGGCCTAAATCATCACAGTCCCCTCCATTGCCTGTTGGGTGCCCCTTCCCTCGTTTATGTGACCTGGCTGGTCCCCACTGGCATTTGAATTTTCCCCATCTGCCCCAGAATGTCCTTTTCTTTCTTGTCCTGCTCTGGCTGAGGAAACGCCCAGGCTTGTCCAACGTCTTCTAACTTCTGCTACCCAGATTTCTTCCTGTTGTCTAACTTTAGTATCTCATGCTGTCTGTTTCCTATCATCTAGGCTCCTCCCCCTCAGCCCAGGGGCTTCGCCTGGAGGTGGGGGTAGGACTCTGGTGCAGATGCATGGCTGGGCATGGTGTTGTGTGCTGTAACAGTGTCGGGATGAAACTCCATCGGGATGAAACAGCCTCCTTGCCACATTCCCTGTGAATTTCTCCCCCGGTTTGTGGGAGGATGCAGACATGGAGGGAAGGAGATAGGAGGAGAGATGATTGATAGAGAGTGACTCAGAGCTGAAAAGGGCCACCCACTAGGGCCGTCTGGTTCATCACAGCCCTCCATTCTCCATCCATTCTCTACGGAGCGGGGAAGCCTTGCCTTTCAGGCCAGGGCAAATCCAGGGACTTGCTTTCACAAGCGTTGTGGCATCTTTATTTATTTATTTATTTATTTTTATTTTATTTTATTTTGAGACGTAGTCTGACTGTCACCCAGACCCGAGTACAGTGGCATGATCTCAGCTCACTGCAACCTCTGCCTCCAGGGCTCAAGTGATTCTCCTGCCTCAGCCTCCCGAGTAGCTGGGATTACAGGCACCTGCCACCATGCTTGGCTAATTTTTGTATTTGTTGTGGCTTCTTAAAAGAGTGATTCCCACACATCAGTCATTCACAGACCATCTTCTCAATTTTGCTCTTACTCTATACTATTACATTTGATATTTTTCTTTGTTTTTCTTGAGACAGACTCTCACTCTGTCACCCACGCTGGAGTGCAGTGGCACGATCTCGGCTCACTGCAACCTCCACCTCTAGGGTAAGCAATTCTCCTGCCTCAGCCTTCTGAGTAGTTGGGACTACAGGCACCCGCCACCATGCCCGGCCAATTTTTATATTTTTAGTAGAGGCGGGGTTTCACTATGTCGGCCAGGCTGGTCTCAAACTCTTGACCTCAGGTGATCCACCCACCTCGGCTCCCCCAGAGTGCTGAGATTATAAGCATGAGCCACTGCGCCTGGCCACATTTGATATTTTTCTTAAATCAGCTCGTTGTATTGTCCAGGCTGGTCCTGAACTTCTGGGCTCCATTGAGTAGCTGGGACTACAGGCATGCACTACTGTACCCAGCTTCAGACTTTTTTTTTTTTTTTAAGGCAAATTTGTTGAAAAGGAAACCGTGTCACCTGCATCAATAGGAAACTGTAGTAGAATTGCATCATTTCCAATAAATTTAAGGTAACTGCAAAAATAAACACAATAAAAGTAAACCACCGACCAGCGATGGTGGCTCACGCCTGTAATCCCAGCACTTTGGGACGCTGAGGCAGTAGGATCACTTGAGGTCAGGAGTTCGAGATCAGCCTGGCCAACACAATGAAACCTCGTCTCTATTAAAAATACAAAAACTAGCCAGGTATGGTGATGGGTGTCTGTAATCCCAGGTACTTGGGAGGGTAAGACAGGAGAATCACTTGAACCCAGGAGGCAGAGGCTGCAGTGAGCCGAGATTGCACCCCTGCACTCCAGCCTGGGCGACAGAGTGAGACTCTGTCTCAAAATAGAAAAGAAAAAAAAAAGTAAACCACCTTACTCGGTCCTCCTAAGTCAAGCCCATGAGCTGGAAGCCTGTACTAGGGAGAAGAGCAGGTATTTGAGATGTTCAAGTCCTATTAGCACCAAATGGAAACTTTCTCCTTGATACAATGATAGAACTGAAGAAGGAATCCCTTTCCTGAGTCACGGTTCTGCAGCATGTAGTATCTTCACCACATGGCGTTAACACCACCTAGTGGTAGCAGGTCCACCCTGGGGAAAGACTGGTTCTGGCTAAAGCACTCTTGACCCCCGTCTGGGCTGAGCACTGTCTAGAGAAAACCCCTGGACTGGCTCCCAGCCTGAAGGGGTGCTGTGACTCAAGGTGAGCCTCCCGAGCAGCAGCCTCCAGCCTCCCCCATCTCTAGGCGTCCCCCAAGAGCCATCTTTATAAAGTGCTGCTTTTCATATGTTGTGGTCACTCCCCCACTCAAAGACCTCCATGGCTCCCCAGTACTTCTTGGGAAAAGTCCATGGCTGTCATTGCTCAGTGGTGTGATCTTGGCCCACTGTACTCGCTGCCTCCCAGGTTCAAATGATTCTCCTGCCTCAGTCTCCCAAGTAGCTGGGATTACAGGTGCGTGCCACCACACCTGGCTAATTTTTGTATTTTTAGTACTGATGAGGTTTCACCATGTTGGCCAGGCTGGTCTTGAACTCCTGACCTCAGGCGATCCTCCTGCCTCAGCCTCCCAAAGTGCTGGGATTATAGGTGTGAGCCACCGCACCCAGCCAAGGCCTCTGAGACTCTGAGCCAACTGCCTCCTACAGCCTTTTCTGTGCTATTCCTGATCTGCTTGATTCCATCTTACCCAACTCCCCTCTTCCCACAGAGCCCTTGCACCCCTCTCTGCTTAACACTCAGCTCAGATCCTCAGTGTCTTCACGCCCCAGCCACCTCCTAAAATTTCTCTAGCACAGGAGTGGCAAATACATGGAAAGGACTTCCAGCCCAGGTGTCTGGATCCAAAGCTGGCACTGTAGGTAAAAACCCCATGCTGGCAAAATTATCTCAGGAGCTGGGCACAGTGGCACACACCTACAGTCCCAACTACTCAGGAAGCTGAGGTGGGAGGATGGCTTGAGCCCAGGAGTTTGAGGCTGCAGTGAGCTGTGATTGTGTCAGTGCACTCCAGCCTGGTTGATACATCGAGACCCTGTCTAAAAAAAAAAAAAAAAAAAAAAAAATCCCCCTTGACAATCACTCATAACATATTGTGTACACAATTTTGTGTATTCAGCCCACTCACATAATTTTTTTTTTTGAGACAAGATCTCACTCTGTTGCCCAGGCTGGAGTACAGTGATGCAATTTAGGTTCACTGCAACCGCCACCTCCCGGGACTCAAGTGATCCTCCCACTTCAGCCTCCCAAGTAGCTGGGACGACAGGTGCCCACCACCACGCCCAGCTAATTTGTTTTTGTTTTTTTTTTTGAGATGGAGTCTTGCTCTGTCACCTAAGCTGGAGTGCAGTGGTGCGATCTCAGCTCACTGCAACCTCCACCTCCTGAGTTCAAGTGATTCTCCTGCCTTAGCCTCCTGAGTAGCTGGGACTACAGGTGTGTGCCACCACCCCCGGCTAATTTTTATATTTTTAGTAGAGACGGGGTTTCGCCCCTTGGCCAGGTTTGTCCCGAACTCCAGACCTCAGGTGATCCACCCGCCTCAGCTTCCCCAAGTGCTGGGATTACAGGTGTGAGCCACCGTGCCCGGCCTAATTTTTGTATTTTTTGTAGAGATGGGGTTGCACCATGTTGCCCAGGCTGGTTTCGAACTCCTGGGCTCAAGCGATCTGCACGCTGTGGCCTCCCAAAGTGCCGGCATTATAGGCATGAGTCACCACACCCGGCCTCCTCACATAATTCTTAAGCCCCCTGTCATTTGGGAGCCATGAGCTAGACTAAAAAAAGAACAAAAGAAGGGTCTTGATGCAGGTATATGAACATTTGAACTATTCATCGTCTTTAAGACCAGTACCAACTCCTAGTGGTGAAAAGGGTGATGTGTGGAGAATTCTAGAGTGTTCTCACCTTAGGGTGTCTCCCTTTGGTGTTTAATATGAAGCCTCTGGAACCTTCATATTTGTTAATGGAGAGTGGACTTATTTGGGTACCTCTCAGTGAAGAGGCTGGGTTTGACTGTCAGGTTCATCTCATGGAGCGATGCCATCTACTGGTAATGCCTGGCTGGAGGGAGCTGCCTGGAAATGCAGTTGGATGGAAGTATTGTGCTTGATTAGTGATGTCTGCCATGAAGGTGGAAGAGGGTGGTGGTGTTAGTGGTTATAGCCATTCCTATCCTAGTTCCACAGCAACAGGCTGGAGAGAGTCTTTTTTGTGTGTCTCTCTTTTTCTTTCAAATGTGACTAACTTGAGGGCAGGGGCTGCATTTTAAATTTTTCTGCCCCCATGAAGTGTCTAGGACAGGGCTGGGCAGATAGGAAGTGTCTACCTGACATCCAAATAGTCCATTGTAAGTGGGTGTTGAGGTGCTGGGAAGGTATCAGCTCCCTTTCTCTCCCTTTGCAGATGGTGTCTATGAGATAGGCGGCCTCGTTCCCGTCTGGGTCGTGGTGGTGATCGCAGGCACAGCCTTGGCTTCAGTGACCTTTTTTGCCACATCTGACAGCCAGCCCCCCAGGCTTCACTGGGTAAGAAGCCCGGGTTCTCCGAGATGGGGGGGGAGGGATGCTGATGTCTCCCACACAGATGTCCTGTCTGCATCTCTGAGGCACTTTGACCAGTTTGATCAGGAGTCACACAAAGACAGGTAACCGAACTTTAAAGCTGCTTTTGAGAGTGTTTGTATCTATACAGGGTTTTTTTCTTTTTTTTTTTGGTAATAGCTTAATTTTGTTGAGATGTAATTCACATACCATACAATTTACCCATTTAAAGTATACAATTTAATGTTTTTTATTATAGTTACAGAGTTGTGGAATCATCACAATCAATTTTAGAGAATTTCATCACCCCAAAAAGAGACCTCATGCCCATAAGTCACTCCCCATTTCCCCACCCCCCACATAGCCCCTGGCAACCACGACTCTACTCCGCGTCTCTATGGGTTTGCCTATCATGGACATTTTATATAAATAGAATCCTACAATATGTGATTTCCTTTTTTTTGAGACAGGGTCTCCCTCTGCTGTCCAGGCTAGAGTGCAGTGGTACAGTCATAGCTCACTGCAGCCTCGACCTCCTGGGCTGAAGCCATCCTCCCACCTCAGCCCCCCAAGTAGATGGGACTACAGGCGCAAGCCACCACGCCCAGCTAATTTTTGTATGTTTTTTGTAAAGATGAGGTCTCACTATGTTGCCCAGACTACTCTCAAACTCCTGGCCTCAAGCAATCCTCCTGCCTCGGCTTCCCAAAGTGCCAGGATTCCAGGCATGAGGCACTGTGCCCAGCCTTGGGTTTCTAAAGACACTCCAGGGATAGAATGGGATGGCCTTTGTGGGTGTCTTTTTCCATTTTCCCTAGTCTAGGCACTCTAAAGAATATTTAGGGGTTTGTCCAGAGACTTTTTCCTTAAAAGTTTACTTAAATTAGCTGGGCGTGGTGGCGGGCACCTGTAATCTCAGCTACTCGGGAGGCTGAGGCTGGAGAATTGCTTGAACCCAGGAGGCAGAGGTTGCAGTGAGATGAGATCGCATCATGGCACTTCAGCCTGGGTGACAGAGACTCCGTTTCAAAAAAAAAAAAAAGTTTACTTAATATTTTCATTTTGGCTGGGCGTGGTGGCTCACGCCTGTAATCCCAACACTTTGAGAGGCCGAGACGGGTGGATCACCTGAGGTCAGGAGTTTGAGACCAGTCTGGCCAACATGTCGAAACCCTGTCTCTACTAAAAAATACAAAAATTAGCCAGGCATGGTGGCGGGCACCTGTAATCCCAGCTCCTTGGGTGGCTGAGGCAGGAGAATCGCTTGAACCCAGGAGGCAGAGGTTGCAGTGTGCTGAGATCGCGCCACTGCATTCCAGCCTGGGCAACAGAGTGAGACATCGTCCTAAAAAAAAAGTTTACTTAAAATTTTCATTGTTTAGTGCTTAATGATTTTTTAAAATTTTAGTTTTTACTTTTGGAAACTCAATGAATGTACCAACCGAAGGGTGTTGAATTTTCAGCAAATGGATCATTTAGGGAAGTTGCCTTTTACTACTTAGGGAAAATTGTCTTTCACTGTTTTTTCAAGTACCGACGTGTGCCACAACATGGATCACCCTTGAAAACATGATGCTGAGTGAGAGAAGACTGTAGCAGAGGATCACACACTGTGGCATTCCATTGATGTGAAATGTCCACGAGGCACATTCAGAGAGACAGAGAGCAGAGTAGTGGTCGAGTTGGGCTGGTGGGGTGGGGCTAGGGAGTGACCGCTAATGAGTACAGGGATACTTATTGGGATGATGGGTGGTATTTGGTTCATAGACTGGAAATCTGATGAAAGTGATAAGGAACCCTTTCCAGACAAAATAATATTTTTTTTTAGTATATGAAAGGGAGGTTTTTTTGTTTTTATTTTTTTTCTTTTTTCGAGACAGAGTCTCACTCAGTCGCCCAGGCTAGAGTACACTGGCATGATCTAGGCTCACTGCAACTTCTGCCTCCCGGGTTCAAGCGATTCTCCCACCTCAGCCTCTCGAGTAGCTGGGATTACAGGTGTGTGACACCAGCCTGACTAATTTTTGTATTTTTAGTAGAGACAAGGTTTCACCATGTTGGCCAAGTTGGTCTCGAACTCCTGACCTCAGGTGATCTGCCCGCCTCGGCCTCCCAAAGTGCTGCGATTACAGGCGGTGAGCCACCGTGCCCGGCCTGAAAGGGAGTTTATTAAGGAAAAAAGAAAATAATATTGAACTCACGTTTTATTGAGCACTAACTTTGCACAGGCACCAATGCATATAGTAACGTGTTTTATACTCATAATAAGCTCATGAGGTAGATACTGTTATCATCCCGTTTCACAGGTGAGGAACTGAGGCTGTGTTCCTGTTGGGGCTGGCCTTGGTCCCACAGCAAACCATTCCCTCCGCAGCTCTTTGCTTTCCTGGGCTTTCTGACCAGCGCCCTGTGGATCAACGCGGCCGCCACAGAGGTGGTGAACATCTTGCGGTCCCTGGGTGTGGTCTTCCGGCTGAGCAACACTGTGCTGGGGCTCACGCTGCTGGCCTGGGGGAACAGCATTGGAGGTGACTCAGGGCTGGGTGGGGTTGAGTGGGGGTGAGTGCGGCCACATCTTAGCTCTTTCCTCCCCCAGCCAGAGTCGCATCTGGGCAGGAGTGTCCAGGGTGTCTGCCCTCTGCACCTGTGCAGTGTCCCCTGTCACTGTGGAGTGGCCAGCATTGGGGTGAGATGGCCCTGACTGCAGTTGGACCAAGAAACTCTATAGAGGCCCCTGCCTCTTCCCCACCCTCTGATGCGGGGATGGTCGGTGGCTCCCAGAGTTCAGGCAGGACATGGAGCCCATTGCAGCCGGCCGTGCTTGATGTGTACACGGGTGTGTGACATGCAGGCATTCACACTTACATACATACACCCTTCCCTAGCTGTAGCAGCCAGGTGTGGTTGGCCAGGTTATGCACTGCTCCAGAGCATCCAGACAAGAGGATGAGGGAGCTGAAATCTAGCCCCTCCTTCCACTTACCTTTTTGAGCACCTTCTTCTTATTCATGTGGAGGTGCTGTGCATGTTACCAGCAGATGAGACTTTGAAAAATTGGTAGCCGTAGTTTTTTTTTTTTTTTTTTTTTTTTTTTTTTTTTTTTTTTTTGAGATGGAGGCTTGCTCTGTCGCCCAGGCTGGAGTGCAATGGTGTGATCTTGGCTCACTGCAACCTCTGCCTCCCAGGTTTAAGCAGTTCTCCTGCCTCAGCCTCCCGAGTAGCTGGGATTACAGGCGCCCACTACCATGCCCAGCTAATTTTTGTATTTTTAATAGAGACAAGGTTTCATCATGTTGGCCAGGCTGGTCTCGAACTCCTGACCTCAGGTGATCCATCTATCTTGGCCTCCCAAAGTGCTGGGATTACAGGTGTGAGCCACTGTGCCCAGCTGGTAGCCGCGTTTTTCACACCTGCAAAGTTGTTCCTGGTGTGAAAGAGTGGGGTAAAGGAATTAAGGAGGGAAGTGTGTCTTCCCAGATGCTGTGCCCCCTCACACAGCACCCCACCAGCTAGTGCCCAGGCACACTTGGGCATCCATCTGTGTTTGTTGCCTGAATGACCGTGGGTGAGAATGAAGGCGTGGATGACCAGGGAGGGTGGGGGAAGCGACTCACCACTGCAGGCCCCTCTTGTTCCTGTGCAGATGCCTTCTCGGATTTCACACTGGCTCGCCAGGGCTACCCACGGATGGCGTTCTCCGCCTGCTTTGGCGGCATCATCTTCAGTATCCTTTGTGGTCTGTTCTTGGCCTTAGCACTGGTGTCACAGCCGTGGGTGGGGTGTGCTCCATGCCCCACCCTGGGGATTGGTTCTCGGTGTAACACCTGGGGCAGGTAATGTGGCTGCCTGAGCCTCAGGCTCCAAGGCTTTAAAATAGGGATTTGGGGAGTGCTAACCTCCAAGTGGTGTTGTAAGGATCCAGTGAGGTGAATGAAATTCTTGGCCCCTGGTAAGGGCTCAGCAGACAGCAGCTATTATTGTTAGGACAGTGAGTGGTGTGATAAGCAGGTGCCCATAGGATGAGCTTATGTGTCCTATGGAAGACCCTCTCTCTCTTGCTCATAGCGACATGTCATGGTCTATGTTAGGGTTGGCAGACTTTTTCTAAAAGGGCCAGAGAATTCTTTTTTTTTTTTTTTTTTTTTTTTTTTTGCAGGGTGGGGACGGAGTCTGGCTCGGTTGCCCAGGCTGGAGTGCGGTGGCGTGATCTTGGCTCACTGCAATTTCTGCCTTCCGGGTTCAAGCAATTCTCCTGCCTCAGTCTTCTGAGTAGCTGGGACTACAGGCGCCCACGACCACGCCCAGCTAATTTTTGTATTTTTAGTAGAGACAGGGTTTCACTATGTTGGCCAGGCTGTTCTCAAACTCCTGACCTCAAGTGATCTGCCAGCCTCAGCCTCCAAGTGCTGGGATTACAGGCGTGAGCCACCACACCTGGCCCAAAGAATAAATATTTTAGACTTTGGGGGCCATGCAGGCGGTTTTGCAGCTACTCAACTCTGCTGCTATAGTGCAGAAACAGGCACAGACAGTGCATAAGTGAATGGCCATGGCTCTGTTCCAATAAAACTTTATTTATAAAAGCAGTTAGTGGGCCAAATTTGGCCGGAGGGCTGATGTTTGCCAACTTTTGGTCTATATAGAAAAGACGGATATAGCCAGCCTGGGGCTATGAAGAGAAAGAGCTTTGAAACCAGATGGTTGTGGGTTCCAGACAGTGCCTGGCGCACGGCAGGCATTCGGCCAGCAGTGGATACTGTTGGCTGCTAAAGAAAGAAAGATGATCACAAAGTGCCTGAAGGGCCGCTCTCTCCAGGCTCCACGATGACAGAGCCTCACCAGGGGCTGCAGTGTGAGCAGTTGGCCGGCAAAACAGGCTAACTGCGGAGACAGTGATGCCTGCCCTTTTAACTCCCAGGCTGAGCAAGGCCCTTGGTGGCCCTTTTGCGCCCACTGAGGCCTACTCCTGGCTTTCGGGCTGCAGCCTCGCCTGACCTCCCAGGTTGGCTGGGAAGGAGGGAGCCCTGAACGACCCCTAGAGATGGCCTCGGCCCACACACTATCACCAGTTCCCTCTAGGGACTGGGGGCAGTCCCTTCATCTCTCCTGGCCTCGGTTTCCCCACCTACTGAGTGCTTACATGCGCCAAGCATTCCTGGCACCCTAAGGTGTTCGATCCTTAGAGACTGACTGCAACACTTACTCAGCACCCATCTTCTTAAAGGCCTAAAAAGATAGGGTCTCCTCAGATATGGTGTTTGGGGGAGTTGGGCATACATCATAAAGAAAGCCAAGTAAATTCATTTTTTTTTGTAAGTCTGGGCACAGTGGTTCATACCTGTAATCTCAGCACTTTGGGAGCCTGAGGCACGAGAATCACTTGAGTCCAGTGATTTGAGATTTGCCTGGGCAACACAGCAAGACCCTGTCTCTACAGAAAAATTAAAAAATTAGCCAGGTGTGGTGGCATATGCCTGTGATCCCAGCTACTTGGGAGGTTGAGGTGGGAGAATCACAAAGCCTAGGAGGTCGAGGCTGCAGTGAGCCGTGTTCACACCACTGCACTTCTCTACCTCCAACCCCCACCAAATTTTTTTTTTGAGACGGGTCTCACTCTGTTGCCAAGGCTGGTCTCAAACTCCTGGCCTCTAGTGATCCTCCTGCCTTGGCCTCCCAAAGTGCTGGGATTACAGGCATGAGCCACTGCGCCTGGCCCAAGTTCATTCTTGCAGTGGCATCCCAAGCCCTGGGGATGAACACAGTAGGAGGAACGGGCTATGTGGTTGGGTTATGTGCAGGCCATTCCAGCAAAGCTTCCTGAGCTGGGCTGCAGACATCCTCGTGGGTGTGGGGCTGGGCTGCCTGCTCCAGATCTCCCGAAGCCACACAGAAGTGAAGGTGAGTATTCCTTGTAAGTTTACAAGTGTATATAACCAAGATGTAGCTTGATGGGGAAGGGGCAGGAAGGCCCTGGCTTTGGATCTGGGTCCCATCACTTAAGTCCCTGGCTGTATGACTTTGAGTGAGCTAGGACATCTTGGCCGGGTGTGGTAGCTCATGCCTGTAATCCCAGCACTTTGGGAGACTGAGGCAGAGGATCACTTGAGGTCAGGAGTTCGAGACCAGCCTGGCCAACGTGGTGAAACCCCATCTCTACTAAAAATACAAAAATTAGTCAGGTGTGGTGGTGCACACCTGTAATCTCAGCTACTTGGGAGGCTGAGGCAGGGGAATCACTTGAACCCAAGAGGTGGAGGTCACAGTGAGCCAAGATTGCGCCACTGCACTCCAGCCTGGGCGACAGAGTGAGACTTCATCTCAGAAAAAAAGGGAAAAAATGGAGTTAGGACATCTCTGGGCCTCAATTTCCTCCCCTATAAAATGAGATTGATGACACCAGCTGAGCTTCCTGGATAAGCACGCAGCGGAAGGGCCAGACTGAGCACCATATCCCAGCACTGCCCACAGGGGAGGTGACAGAGATGTGTGGGTGATTTGGGTAGGTAGCATGTGGCCAGATATTCCAGGTCCTCTAGAGAAGAAATCAAGATTCCTAAGTGAATTTTTTTCTATTCGAAAATCTGCCTCACATGCAAACAAAACCCTGTGCATATGAGGCAGATTGGACCCCTGAGCCGCTGGCAGTCCCATCCCTGCATCTCTATTCTGGAGGACTTGAGTCCAGAGACTCAGCAAGGAAGACGTAGGCTGGGGAGGAAGAGATGGCCTGGGGGTTGGTTTTAAGCCTCGCCATGGGAAAGCTCTTTGAGTGTTATGAAGCTGAATAAAGTCACCCGTTTCTCCCAGAGGCACGAGTTGTTGAATAGGCTCTCGGCAGAGCCTGTTAGCCGGGGGCAGGGTGTTTCTTTCACACTGGCCATGCCCACAAGCAAACAGCTACTTAGGGCTTGAAATTTTCTTTTCTGAAAGGTAAACACCCTCTGCAAACTTTGTTGTCCCTCTTTATGGGTTTAATAGGTTCCCTTTCATGATAGATTCTAGGGTAGTTCCAGGTAATGAGGCTTTAGGGTTGGCTCCTCAGGGGACCTATTTCCTCTTTTCTCCTGTGCGCGCGCGTGTGTGTGTGTGTGTGTGTGTGTGTGTCCACCGCCTTTGTGCTGAGTTTAGGAAGTGTGTGTGTGTGTGTACGTGTGTGTGTGTGTGTCTACCACCTTTGTGCTGAGTTTAGGAAATGTGTGTGTGTGTGTGCGCGTGTGTCTACCACCTTTGTGCTGAGTTTAGGAAACGCTCCTGCCGTTAAATGGCATGAGACATCAACATGGAAGGATGTCCATGGTGTACCGTTGGTTGAAAACCACAAGTCGCTTTGAAACACTTACCTATTGTACGGTCCCATCTCTGTTTTCAGAATTGATGTACATGTCTAGAGGTGTGTGTGTCCACAGGCGTGTGTAATATGGCATCCCATGGGGAGGAGGATAGGCATTGGTTAAGAGCTTGCACTTGGATTTGGGCTCTGTCACTTACTCTGTCAGTTTCTTCATCTGTGGGTTGGAGACGAGGAGGATGCAGGTGGCTGGGAAGACGAAACGCCACGGTGCCTAGAAACAGCCCACACGGTACCTCATGTCTTCACTGCGTGTTGGATATACCTGCTAAGTGTGGAAGGAAGAGAAGCGGGGAGGGGACATTTCAGTCCCTTTTACTCTTCTGTACTGCTTGAAAATATGTCAGCAACCATGTGTGACATGTATACCATAGATAGTGTTAGTTCCCTAGTGCTGCCATAACTGACCACAAACCAGGGGGCTGACAACAGCAGAAATTGAGTCTCTCCCAGTTCTGGAAGCCAAAAGCCTGCAATCAGGGCATCAGCCGGGCAGTGCCACCTCCAAGCTCCAGAGGAGGATCCTTCCTCACCTCTTCCAGCTGCTGTTGGCTCCTGACGTTCCTTGCCCAGTGGGCCCATCTCTGCAGTCTCTGCCTCTGTGTTCCCATGGCCATCTCTCTCTTCTTCTTACGGAGACATGAGTCATTGGATTTAGGGGCCACCCTAAGTCCAAGATGATTGTATCTTGAAACCCTTAGCTTATTATATTTGCAAAGACCCTATTTCAGGTAAGGCCACATGCTGAGCTTCCGGATGGGCGTGAATTTGTTGGGGGTGGGGCACTACTTATCCTACTACACATATAAAAACCTGCAGCTGAAATCTGCAGGCTCCTCCCCAGTTCTAGAGAACGGGAGTTGCTGTCAGCTCCTCCTCCCGCAGAGGAGCCTGTCTTGTGCCTGACACTTTGGCTCTCGCTCATTCATTTCTGCTGCTGCCACTCCTTTATCATTCATCCATCCCCTCCTTCACCCAGAAGGCGGCATCCTCCCAAGTTCAGAGTCAGGCAGAGGTGCCAGGCCCAGTGCTGCTGAGCACCTTGGACAAGTCAGTCAAGTCTAAGGGTCTTGGTTTCCTCATCTGTAAAATGGAGTCCATCCTAGTACCCACCATACAAGACTATTGTTAGATCAAAGACGACAGTGCCTGTTAGGCCCTTCGCACAATGCCTGGCATAGAGCAGGCACTCAGTAGATACTTATAGCTGCCATTTCTTCAAAAACCTTATGGGCTGGGTGCGGTGGTTCACACATGTAATCCCAGCACTTTGGGAGGCCATGGTGGGCAGATCACTTGAGGTCAGGAGTTCGAGAACAGTCTGGCCAACATGGTGAAACTCCATCTCTACTAAAAATACAAAAAAATTAGCCAGGCGTGGTGGCAGACACCTGTAATCCCAGCTACTCGGGAGGCTGAGGCAGGAGAATCACTTGAACTTGGGAGGTAGAGGTTGCTGTGAGCTGAGATCACGCCATTGCACTCCAGCCTGGGCAACAAGAGTGAGACTCCATGTCAAAAAAAAAAAAAAAAAAAAGCCTTATAAAGATTTTTTCCATTTTATTATGAAAACTCAAACATAGAACAGTTAAAAGACTTGTATGATAGACACACATATTCCCACCACCCAGACTCTACTGTTTATGTTTGGCTGCCTTTGCTTTGTTGTCTGTTTGTCCATGCCTGTCTGTCCATGCCTCCATCTATTCTTTTCTTTTTTCTTCTTTTGTTTTTTGAGATGGAGTTTTGCTCTGTCACCCAGGCTGGAGTGCAGTGGTGCAATCTTGGCTCGCTGCAGCCTCCACCTCCCAGGTTCAAGTGATTCTCCTGCCTCAGCCTCCCGAGTAGCTGGGATTACAGGCATGTGCTACCACACCTGGCTAATTTTGGTATTTTTAATAGAGACGGGGTTTCACCATGTTGGTCAGGCTGGTCTCGAACTCCTAACTTCAAGTGATCTGCCCGCTTTGGCCTCCCAAAGTGTTGGGATTACAGGCCTGAGCCACCCTGCCCGGCCTAACGCATCCATATTGTTTCTTGATGCATTTCACAGTAAGTGGTGAACATCCGCTTGTGCATGTCGTTGACTAGAGTTCAGCATTAAAAACAGAGGGAATTATAATGACATCTGACTCGAGGCAGGGGAGAGGCACCCAGGCAGGTGGACCTGGCTGAAGTTGGAAGAGAAGGTTCCTTTTCCCTGCTGTTTCTGCGTCTGGAAACTTCTGGGGCCACGTCTGGGTAACTTCAGGGTGGGGCATGCCATCCCACAGGGCAGGCCGGGCTGCTGCAGGCCAGTCTTCCTTAAGTGGCCCCCAGCTGGTGCCCTCAAACACTGTTGAGGCTGCATTGTTGTTGTTGTTGTTGTTGTTATTTTATTTATTTTTTGAGACAGAGTCTTACTCCATCACCCAAGCTGGAGTGCAGTAGCACGATGTCGGCTTACTGCAACCTCCGCCTCCTGAGTTCAAGTGATTCTCCTGCCTCAGCCTCCCCAGTAGCACACTGCCATGTCTGGCTAATTTTTGTATTTTTAGTAGATACAGGGTTTCACTGTATTGGCCAGTGGTCTCGAACTCCTGGCCAATACAGGTCGAACTCCTGACCTCAGGTGATCCACCTGCCTCAGCCTCCCAAAGTGCTGGAATTACAGGCATGAGCCACTGTGCTCGGCTGAGATTGCATTGTTGTTGAGGGTGCATTGTTGTTGAGGGTGCATTGTTGTTGAGGCTGGATTGTTGTTGAGGCTGCATTGTTGCTGAGGCTGCATTGTTGCTGAGGCTGCATTGTTGTTGAGGCTGCATTGTTGTTGAGGCTGCATTGTTGTGTTGGCCACAGACGGGGCGGGGCCTGTGACGGGCAGTGACTCAGCCTCTCTCCCCTCATTCTTCCACAGCTGGAGCCAGACGGACTGCTGGTGTGGGTCCTGGCAGGCGCCCTGGGGCTCAGCCTCGTCTTCTCCCTGGTCTCAGTCCCATTGCAGTGCTTCCAGCTCAGCAGAGTCTATGGCTTCTGCCTGCTCCTCTTCTACCTGAACTTCCTTGTCGTGGCCCTCCTCACTGAATTTGGAGTGATTCACCTGAAAAGCATGTGACTGAAGCCGCTTAGTGCTGTGGCCTCACTGCAGGCAGGAGCCCCGCCCCTCCTGCCGGGGGAGGCCCAGGGACCGGAGCATTTCTGCAAGGCCCTTGTGGGCACGAGAGTGCGGCCCTTGCTGCTGGAGATCTGAGGTCACTGCTGTGAGCTGGGAGAACTGCTGTGTACCTCTTGCTGCCAGCACCCAACAGCCTTGCCGTGGGGACCTTGGAAACCTGGCTTTGCTCTGGACAAAGGGTTCCAGAGAGAAGCTAGAAGTCCCCCTTGAATGACCCCCAGAGCCCCTCTGAGAAGGGCTGGAGTTTGGGGGAAGGGGATGGCTGGATGTGCTCCAGGCCATGCTGGAGGTACCCCCGAGGCACAGGCACTGCCCGTTCCCCTTGCCTGGGCTTCAGGCCTTCTGGCACCTTCTCAGGACACAAGTGGCTGCCCAACCCTGACTCAGAGAATGAGGGTGGCTTGGACCCCTGGGAATCAGGCCGCCGAGGGCTGAGCTCCAGAGCCGCACCATCTGCCACAAACAGAATTCGAGACATACTTAATTTTGAATTTCTCCTTGCCACGTTAATAAAGCCAAAAGCAGCGGGTGCTATTCGTGGCAACACACTTCACTGAACCCACTTGCTTCCAAAACGATGCCAGCCCGAGGCACTGCTACGCCAGCAGCTGCCACATGGGATGGTGGCTCAGGCGCTCCCTCCAGGATTCTGCCCCTGCCTGTCCACAGACTCCTTTGTGCTGGAACCTGGGCTCCTCCAGCTGCCAGGCAGGAGTCGGTAGGACTGTGCCTGTGCCTCCCTCAGCGGGGCCCTGGGCGGGGTTCCAAGGCCTGCGAGCTGGGAAAGGACAGATGAGGGGACCTCGTGCCTTCTTGCTGTCATGCAATGACCCCGCCTTATGTTGCCGAAATAAGCAACTCTTAGGTTTGCCTGACTGCCTTATGCTGGTAAAGAAAAGGGATTCAACTGTCTCTTTTCCAAATAAAAAAAAAGTCAAAATTTCAAGTGTAGAGAAAATGACACCCCCAACTTTTACCAGTTCTTCCTCACCTGGGGCCAGTGCCAAGTGGCTGACCCCAGGGCACAGCTCGGGGTGGGGCTGAGGCAGGATCAGGAATGGCCATGGCCTTGGATGGGGCCACTCTCCCGACAATACCCAAAGCCACAGAAGTCAAGAGGCAGCAGCCATGTTTACAAAGCAGAGGCTCTTTTAGTAATGTGCTAGAAATCCAGAGACACAATGGGTTTTCTAGGAAACAAACCACCAGTGTACAAAACCGTACAGCATTGCTCCCGTGATCCGTACAAAATGATTGTCCGCATGGTGGAGTAAGGCTGGGGCTGTGGGAGGGGAAGCGAGGAGCTGAGGAGGGGCACAGTTCTATTGCCACCACCACCAGGCTGTGCCCCTGGCCGCCAGTGGGTGCCACTTGGGTGCACTCAACTATGACATCAAGGATGAGAGGGCATCTGAGCTAGATCACATCCCAGGGCCCACAGAGCTCACAGCCTGTGGGGGGACCCCAACTCCCTGCTGGGTGGGGCCAGGCATAACCTGGGGATAGCTGTCCCTAACCTCAATGACAAGGGCACCCACCCTGGCTGGACTCCCGTCTGTTGACACTGCTGCCATTGGGTATTTGTCAGGTCCTGGCCAAAACCAGGTCCTTTCTCAGGACAGGGTTGGGCAGATGGACACATTAACTCGCTCTGGACAGGGCCGAGATCCCACTCCTCCTGGAATAGGCCCCCCCACCTCGGGGCCTTGACTCCCCTGGGCAGACCCCGGGGTGCTGCTGGCCCCTCCACGTTTCCACCCCTGGGGAGGAAGAAGGGCCCAGGCGAGGCCCAGATGCTCAGGTCAGAGACTCACACCTTTAGAAGCTGTCCCCTGACCCTTGCTTCCAAAACGCCCATTTCAACACACAAAAGCTAAAAGGCACCCAATTGTGCAATAAAGTTCCCTCTCTGTGAAAGGGAGGGGGTTCTGGCCTGGGGCTCGATGTGGAGCTCCTGCTGATGGCCCATGGCCCTCCAGAGAGGAAGAGGACAAAGCCAGTCTGACTCCCGGGGGAATCACAGTGAGTCTCAATAATGTGTTGCTTTCCCAAAGGGCTGTGCTTTAAAAACAAACACCTGCTACTTGTCCAACTCCCCTGACCTGGGAAGGGGGGAAGGGGAGAACCATGCCGTGCTGGCTATGGGACCCAGCTTGGCCTTGGAGGTGGTTGGGAGGAGGGGGTGGGGGACCAGGTACTGCTCCCCTGGGGTCGGGTGCCACCCTGCCCGTTCTGTGGCTGGGAAGAGGACAAGGCCAGAGGGAGGCTCTGTCCACCTGCCTTCTGAAGTCACAGGAAGCAGGCACCAGAGGGCCGGGGCTGGCCAGGAATGCCCAGCAGTGCACTCCTTGCCCTTCGCACCCTCCATCCTGCCACTGCGGCTCCTGCTGCAGAACCTATGCTGTGTTCCGTTCTGTGGCCCAGGGAAGCGGAACCAAAGCGACCTCTGCACTGACCCTGCCTCTGTGGCAGGGTCACTGCAGCTGGCAACCCTCCTACCTCCACCACGCTCAGATGTCATACAGGGCTCCTACAGGGTACCATGGTGGGAGGAGGGGTGGCGACGTTAACTGAGGTTCATCTGAACCTACTTCTGCACCAACCGCTCCTGCTATGGAAATCTCTGGTGTGAGCAGAGCCAGGGAGGGTGGCTGGGAACTGGGCCGGGGCCACGGGGCTGCTGCGTCCCACAGGGAGCGTCTCTCTGTGCTGTTCGCTCCTGTTCCTAGTGCACACGTGTGAAGGACCTGGTATCGGCTTTAGCACAATCCTTAGTTAACCAAAACGTTGTTTTGCTTGAACGGGTAAATCGCAAAAAAAGGGATTTGGTCAAGAGCCCATTCCACGAAGTGGTCTGGGTTGCAGACATCGGCCCCACTTCCTGCCTCATGCCCCTTCCTCCGGGTTCTGGGTCCCCAAGGAGGCCACTGTGGAAGAGTTTTCGCCAACAAGGGTTAAGCCAGAGAAGGCTGGGTGGGAGGCTTGCAGAGCCAAGGGAGGAGATTGGTCAGTGTAATCTGTGGCCGCCCGGCACTGGCTAACTGAGCTCTGGCCACATGGGCCCAGTTGCCCCAATTCCGCTTCCATTAGATCCTGGGCACTGGTCCCCGAAGAGGTGTTGCGTGACATTATCACAGACACTGAAATACCACCCTGGAGACCGGGAGTTCTTTCCTTCCTAAGTGGTTCTGTCCCTAAAGCAAAACACAGAAACCTGTGGCATGGGCCGCAGGGAGAGGGGGCGGGCACGCCATCAGGTCGGGGGGATGTGAGCCTGAAGCAGTAGCAGTGACAGCTTTGGACGTGGCCGATGGAGGCCAGCCCACATGAGGGGCAAGCCCCGCAGTCGACTGGATCCAGGTGAGGGGTCTCCTTGTGAAGGGCCTTCTGGAGCCTTCCACAGTAGGAAGAGCTCAGACCTGGTGGCCGCACCCCCACCCCTCACCAAACTGGCTTCTGGAGTTAAGGAAGACAGGGCAAGGTGGTTATAAACCAAGCCCCATCTTGTCTGTCTTTTTTCTTCCTGTATATAAATATGTGCATATACGTGAGTATGTGTACACACACCGCAGTTCCGTACATCGCAGTAGAGTAATACTATTGTGTTATTGCATAGAAGAGACGGCTTTCGGGCGCTGGGCTAGGTAACGGTCTGGGAGCGCTGGCGGCTGCCTGGGGGCTGCTGGGCGGCGGGGGCTGCACTGCTGCTGAGTTGTCGCTGCTGCTCTTGCTCCCTGGCATGCTCCTCATACCACTCCTGGAGAAGAGAGCAGAAGGGGTGCTGAGGGCTGCACCCCACCCCCTGCCCCGCCCACCCCACAAGGTCACACAGCCCACAGCATCCAGGCTGGAAGGGGCAGGGCTGCCAGCCTCACCCAGCTGGTACTGAAACCCCCGTCACAGGCCCAGAAATGCTGGGAATTTTGAATGTGGCCCCAGAGGCAAAAATGACAATGAAATCTTTCCCTAGTGTCTGGAGGTTTGCGCATAACAGCTCTCTAACAGGCCCAGGCAGGAACAACCCTCACCCCTTGTTTGTGAGCATAACCTTTTGTCCTTCACTAAAGGGCCCCCCGAGTGACCCCTTTTGAGCTTGGCAGGAATTGTGTCCCTGTTTCACACCCGAGACACCGAGGCTTAGAGCTGTATTGTGCTGAATACCTCACCTGCCTAAGGCCATGATTATAAACTCTGACATTTTCAGGGACTGAGGTATTCAGGTAATTAAGGAATTAAGTATACCCCACATTTCCTTTTTTTTTTTTTTTTTTTTAGGAGACAGAGATTCACTGTGTGGCACAGGCTGGAGAGCAGTGGCGAGGTACGGCTCACTGCAGCCTCCCACTCCTGGGCTCAAATGATCCTCCCGCCTCAGCCTCCCAAGCAGCTGGAAATACAGGTGTGCACCACCATACCCTACCCTACTTTTTAAAAGACTGAACCATAGACTTTTAGAGCTTCGAGATGGCCTAGTTCTGGCCCCCTTGTTTTACAGAGGGGGAAACTGAGGCCTGGAGCAGATGGACAGGCAGAAGGGCAGAGGCCAAGGGCAGCACACCTCCTTCCAACCACACCTGAATGGGTGCTGCTGCACAGTCATCCCCTTGCACAGACAGGGAGGCATGGAGTGACTGCCCAAGGTCAAACGCTTCTATTATTTCCATGTTTCTGTGACACCAAGTTCAGTGAGCCACTACACATCAGCCCAAAGAACACTGCCTGAGTCTCTTGTGTTCCCGGAGAATGTGTAAGCTGCTTTGGGGACAGCACCCCCCGCTTTTCAGGCATGGACCCTGGTTGTCACTGTTTTAGTGAAACAGAAGGGCTTCAAGCTATTAGAATGCCAGAAAACAGAGCAAAGCCACCATAGCTGGTGTGGGAGAGGCTCCCCGGAGCCCTGGCAACCCTGAGGTGGTTGAGAAGACTCTGCAGGGCTCATGGGCTGGTGGCCCATGGTCTGGAAGGCACCGTGCCAAATGCCAGCCCACACGGTGCTTTGTGAGATATTTTCCTTAGCTGCCAATATGTAAAGATTGGGAGGTCATGCAAAAAAAGAAAAACATCTGATTCTGCCTTTTTTTTTTTTTTTTGAGACAGAGTCTAGCTCTGTCACCCAAGCTGGAGTGCAGTGGCATGATCTTGGCTCACTGCAACCTCTGCCTCCTGGAGTCAAGTAATTCTCCTGACTCAGCCTCTTCAGTAGCTGGGATTACAGGTGCACGGAACCAGGCCTGGCTAAATTTTGTAATTTTAGTAGAGACAGGGTTTCACCATGTTGGCCAGGCTGGTCTCGAGCTCCTGGCATCAAGTGATCCGCCTGCCTTGGCCTCCCAAAGTGCTGGGATTACAGGCATGAGCCACCATGCCTGGCCTGCCTTTTCTTAAATTAGAAGCCAAGGTGGAAGAATTGCTTGAGACCAGGAGTTTGAGACCCCAGCAAGACCTCACTGCTACAAAAATAAGGTAATTAGGGTGTCACAGTGCACACCTGTAGTTCCAGCTGCTTGGGTAGGCTGAGTGGGGAGGATCACTTGAGCCCAGGGGTTGGAGGCTACAGTGAGCTATGATCACGCCACTGGACTCCAGCCCAGGTGACAGAGCGATACCATCTCTAAAACAAAACAAAACAAAAAACACCCAATTATGAAAAATCCCAAGCACTCCCAGCCTGGCCAACATGGTGAAACCCCGTCTCCACTAAATATACAAAAATTAGCCAGGTGTGGTGGCGTGTGCCTGTAATCCCAGCTACTCGGGAGGCTGAGGCAGGAGAATCGCTTGAACCCAGGAGGCGGAGGTTGCAGTGAGCCTAGATCGTGCTGCTGCACTCCAGCCTGGGAGACAGAGCGAGACTCCATCTCAAAACAAAACACCAAGCAGCCCGACCGCAGTAGGGCCTTCTTCCTATTGGGCAGCACTCGCTGGGGCTGGGAGGAGGCTGTGTCCCCTTTGGACAGGCACATCCTGGAGCTGGGAGGAGACTGTCTCCTTTGGACAGGGACATCCTTGCCAGTTCACCACGGTCGCCGCTCTTTCCTCTTTGCTCACTGTGTTTCTTAGTACACATGTTTGAGTTTGCAGCTGACTCAGAGTAAGAGATGGAGAGGAGGTTCTGGAGAATTCATAAGGGGCAGGGACATATGGCGGCAGGCAGGCTGGAGAGCTGCCTCTGCTGGGCACGAGTCAAGGGTTCAAGGCTAAGTGAGCCCCGCTCAGGTCCCACACAACCCCAGCAGTGGTCCCGATGGACGGTCTGCATCTCTCTACCAGCCTTCTCCCTCTACTCAGAGGGCCAGAGAGCAGCTCCCTGCCCCTCCCAGGACATAGCTTGGGGGAGGATTCGCAGCGTGGTCGGCCAGGCTCCTACCTGGATCTCCTCCTGGTACATCTTCAGGCTCAGGTCGCTCTTGGTCCTTGATCGCCGTCCCAGAAACACCATGGAATGTTGCTAAGGAAGAGCAGAGGCTGCAGGGCTCGGCTGCAGATATTCAGGTCCCACCCCTGGTGCCACAGTTGGCGTCTCCCACTTCTCTGGCTTTTGCAACTGTGTCACTCAAAATGTTACCAATATCTGAGGGAAGGGATTATGCCACCCACACTGAAACCTGCCTCCCTCCTTCGGACCAGGGCCTGGGCTCCTCACCTGGTATCTCTCCATCTGGGAGAGGGTCTCCAGCAGCCTGGTGACATCCGAGGAGGCCCCCCGTGCCTCCCGGTAGAGCTCCAGGACGGCAACCAGCTCTTCTTTGGAGATTTCCTTCTCAAGGGTGATGCCACCATCAACTGCAGGGATGGAAGGCAGGTGTGGGAAGGGCCCGGGGCTGCAGCTGCCAACCTGGCTGGGTCTCGTACCTCCTTGCCCCCTTCCGCAGGGGGTCTTAAGGTTCTCTCTCTAAACCGACACTGCATTGGTGTCCTGCTCTCCTCGTTGGCCCTCCTTTCCCTTCCCCTCCCTCTGCTGTGATGTCAGGAGCGCAGGTCTAGCTGGCAGCTGTTACAGGGCCAGAGGGTTTCAGGAAGGGGCCTCTAAGCACAGAGAAAATGGTCAGATGGTCTGATAGCACAGAGATCTGAGGATGAGAGGTAACAAGTGTGGGCACAGGGTTTTCTGTTTCTTTTAAGAGACAGGGTCTCACTCCGCTGCCCAGGCTGGAGTGCAGTGGTGTGATCATGGCTCACTGCAGTCTTGACCTCCTGGGCTCAAGAGATCAAGTGCAGACAGTTTTGATGGAGAATTTGGGAAGAAGGGAGGGTCAGCACACAGAAAGCTGTGCAATCTGGGAAGAGTGAGGCAGTCACTAAAGCCAGCACCATCCAGTTGCAGCAGGAATACGATTCGCCTGTGCCATAAGCAATATTTACACCATTTAAATCAAGAACCGTAGTGTGAACCTATTATTGAGAAACGTGGAGATGACTAACAGAAGAAATAGCCAAGAAGGAGAAGCCTCTGGAGGACGGGAGGGAAAGGCAGGGCAGGGGCTGCTGCTGCCACATAAGCCTTTCTCTACTTCTTGATTTTTCTCCAACTATGACATGCTCTGTCTTATTTTAAAGTTAGATTACGTTTTCTGACATTAAATATTTGAAAATCAATGCAAATACAAGATCTAGAAAGACAAGCCAGATAGATAAGCTGGACAGCCAGACAGCAGAAAAATGACAGCCTGATGGCTGGCTGGACAGCCACCCAGACAGACAGACAGAGCTGGGTAGGCGGCAGATATCAAATGCCCAAGGCATCATCCCTGCACAGACCTTCCGAGTCCTGGTTCTTGCGGCTGTAGTTCATTCGGAAGACGAAGGCCTCGAGGATAAAGGCGACAATGATCGTCATCACCACCTGGCCAGGGATAGGGAGGGAGGGGCAGAGGCAGGGGAGGAGGGTGGGTAGGTGTCCGTGGCTGCGCAGCCCACGCCCAACAGAGTCCGGCCAGATGGGACCCAGCCCCACTCCCTGACGCTGCAGGCTGAAGAGCAGGGGCAGCTGGTGATGTGGAAGACGAAGGACAAAGAGCGTTCTGTGGTCCGGGACCTACCATGGTCACAATGTAAAAGGTCATGAAGTAGAGGCGGCTCCAGTGGGAGGTCTGAGAGGTGACGCCTTCCTGGAGACCAAGGGAAGCAGCCAGTGAGGGGGTGCCCATGCAGGGCAGGTCCCCGTCTACACAGGCTGCTCCATGGCCCCGGCTCTTCGCAGACCCCACCGTGATTTGTGGCTGGTTGTGAGAGATGGAGGAGAGGAAGCTTGCCCCTCTGGGCCTAACACTAATTCCTGACTGCTGAAGGAGCCCTGGCCACTCCCCTGGACGACTGGATCCAGAACCAGGGCAGCCTTTATCCCAGTAGGGCTGGGAGTCGGGAAAGTTTAAGGAATGGAATAAAGAGATCAGCAATGCTCGCCACTTTGTCACTAGAGGGAAAAGTCATCTCTACAGTGGGCGAGACAGGACAGAGACCCAGAGTCTAAGTGGCATCTCCTGGCTGCTGGGGACATGCAGGGAGATGGGAGTAACAGCCGAGTCCAGCCAACACTGGGAGGGGTGGCTCCTGGGGCCCAGCCATCCTGTGGCCTCCCCACTGAACACCAACACAGCATGACTCAAGACCCCCAGCCCTGCAAGCTACGGGAAGAATTATATACTCTGGGTTGGGGGAGACCCAGGGCCGACCCCAGGGCTGGCGGGAAGATACCCCCAGAGCTGCCCGAGCTCTTACCATGATGATGTACCAGTTGTTGACAACTGTGAGCTCAAACAGGGTCACTGCCGAGGGAAGAGAGAAAGAAGCATCCTGATGAGACCCCACTTCAAAGTCAATTTCAAGTGGCCTCTTGCCACCTATCCTGGGTGCCATGTGCTAAGATGAGAGGGTCACCATATGACCGCTTGGGTTGTGAGCTCCAGGAAAGACCAGGCAAGGCACTCCTAGGGCGCTGGCTCCACAGGACATCATGGCCTGCCCCCAAGAGAACACACCCTCTGCCTCAGCAGCCTGTGCCACATCAGACTATCTGGATCTTACTGGGTGCAGATCTGGGGTGTCATGGGGGCACACCCTTTTTCTGGAGAGGCGGTTTGGCTGTGTTCGCCTCTTCATGGGAGTGGGCAGAGGGCTGTGTGCAGTCTGAGCCAGGGGGCAGTGCAGCTGCAGCAGCAGTGGTGTGGCTGGGTCCCATTCTGCAAGTGGCACTGTGATGAGGGGACCCCGCCCAGCTAAGGCTTGCAACTCTTGTCCTCCCCGGTACTGAGAAAATATCAGGAAAGAGTGGAATCAGGCAACTGAGTGAGCTCCAGGATCCAGCCTGGACTGTACTGCCAAAGCTGGGCAGACCAAGTCCTCCACCTGGGCCAGGGAGGCTTCCAGAAAGTGTGGCCCAGACACTTGCTACACCACCTCTGGGACCCGTGGTGACAAGGGTGACAAGGGTGGGGTCCCCAGGGAATGTGCCCCCTGTGATTTTTCCCACTCACCAAAGCTGTTGAGGATGTTGTCAAAATTATTGAGATAATAGTAGCCTTCCTCCACCACGGTCCTGTTGCCCACGGTGTGGTTGCGCCAGCGGTAGGCATCTGCCACTGTACTCGTGCTGGCCGGAGCACAAGGGAGAAAGGAGGGAGGGTCACAAGGCGATCAGTCACCTCCAGAGAGGACAGAAGTCTGAAACAAACCGAGTTCTGGCCAAGGATCCTTCTGTTCTGCCCGCAGCCTGGTTTCCTGCCTAACCCTCTCCACCTCATGCCTGGGTCCCTGCTGAAGGAATGCCCTTGGCTATTCCTGCCTGCTGGGCTTGGCGGGATCCCCTGGCCAGCCTGACCCACCTCTGTCACCTGGAAGTTGTCTGCTGCAGGCAGGGCCTTCTCTCTCACCGTTGCTTGCAGGGGAGGGAGGAGAGGCAAGGGCCTCCTCTGCACCTGCCCCATCTAGGATCTGCTCTTGAGGCTGGACACTAGGCCACAGTCCCAGGGAAGGAATTCCCTACTGGGGCTTCCCCAATACTTGGCCTGAGCAAGTATTTGAAAAGGTTGGCCCTGTTTTGAGGAGCTCTTATTTGCCACTTTCCTTCCAATCTTTTATGGCTGTTCTGTTAATATCCATGCTAATGTTTATAAAAGTCTAGTGCTTGGGCCACCAGGGAGCCTCCTCCCACACGCATGCATCAGACACAAGAGTGAGGTCTGGAGCTTGCACTAAGCTCCCTGGTGACTGCAATGGGCTCTAAAGTCTGGGACCCACTGCTATAGGCTTCTGGTTCCAGACCAAGCTTGACACTCAAACTGGGTCTCAAAGCTACCAGTGTCTTTGTAAAACTGTTTCTTCATCGGTGCTTGAGGCTGTAAAGACCAAATGTAAGAGGACTCTCTGAATTGAGGATGAATGAATGGCAGTGTGCAGTGATTTCACTGTGGCGGCTCAGGAGAAAGGGAGTGCTCATGGGAGATTTCACTCTCTGCTCCCCATCCCTGAGCACCATGACCTTCCTGCACGTGTCCGTCTGTCTTATCCTACGATGCTGTCCCTAGAAGACTGGTCTTGGCCCAGGTCCCCAGCCACTCCAGGAGAGAAGTGGGAGGAAGCCATGGGACTTGACCTTGGGACCCAGGCTACTGTGGGGGTGGCCTCCAGCCCTCGGCAGAGGGTGAGCTGACAGCTCCCAACCCTGCCTGGGGGATGGAGAAACAGGGACCCCGAGTCCAGGCCCCTCATTTAGCTCACTGCACTCAACTAAGCCCTGAAAGCAAAGCAAGGTGGTTGCTTAGACAGGAACATCCCCGAGGACCCCAAGGCCACAAGGACACCAATCCTGGCCCTGGCCAGCCCTCTGCCCGGGAAATGCAGGCTGCCTGGGGCTGGGTGGGGCCTACTCACTTGCAGCAGTTGGGGAAGACGATCCCGCAGAAGAACTCCATGCCCACGATGGCGAAGGAGTAGTAAAAGATGAGCAGGGTGAGGCCCAGGCTGTGGGGCGACAGGGGCAGGGTGACGCGGGGCCGGCAGGAGGGAACGGCTCCTCTGCAGCCCCGGCCTCCTCGGACCCGTGGGGCTGACTGCAGGGCCATGCCCCTGGTCGGTTCACCAACTGGAAAGTGCCTGCGGGGAAGGGGCCTCGTGGGGCAGCTCTGGGGTGAAAAACAGC
The DNA here is from genome assembly GCF_000001405.40 of Homo sapiens. Lineage (NCBI taxonomy): Eukaryota > Metazoa > Chordata > Mammalia > Primates > Hominidae > Homo > Homo sapiens. The sequence continues at coordinate 113,288,579 of NC_000012.12, read as the reverse complement.
TCAAGTCAGGACGCTATGAACAAATGCCCCTTTCCCAGAGATTCACCCCTTACCTGTGAAGGTAGACTCACAGGTGACCCCTTACCTGTGAATGTAGACACAGGTGGTAAGCGAGTTGACAGCTCCCTGCCCTCCCTACTAAATATGTCAGACAGGTCAGTGGAGAAAAATGGTGCCCAGGAGACCTGTGGTGGTCAAGATTCCAGGCTCCTTGGAGCCCCGTCAGGCCCTCGATTGCAGTCCTTTGTGGAACTCCTTTCCCCCGACTGCCACTCGGCTCCCGCCCCCACGGGGCACTGCCACACGGCACCTGGACCTGCAGGCCAGGGTGGGGGCTGGCAGTACCTGGCCATCCGGGGCAGCAGCTCGAACATGGTGTCCAGCACGTTGCGGTAGCGCTCCTTCAACTTAAACAACCTGAGCGAGGAGGACACCCGTCACCTCCACACACAGGTGCACGCCTCAGCCCCCGCCCTCAGAACATGCCGGCCCCGCCTTCCACACGCCATGCGGTGAAGACAGGTGAGGGCCTCTCCTCCACCTGCGTCCACTCCCTTGGGCGCCACCAACCCTGAGCTGGGCTCAGGTGATTCATGCATGAGGGAAGGGATGGTGGCAGCCCCAGGACACCGGCTGGGCGGGGTCCTTCCACGAAGAGGAGCAGGGCCAGGCCACATCTCCTTGCAGTAGAGCTGCAGGCTCAGACAGGAGCAAGGCCTTGCTCCTGGGAAAGAGCGGGGAGAAGCCCATGTGCCCCGGGGAGCGGGGGCAATGGAGCTCACCAGTGAAGAAGGGTGGCAGGGGGCGGGACGGAGGCGGACACTCAGGAGCAGCCCCAGGCCACCCCCACACGCCAAGGGGGTAGGCTTTTCCTCCATAGACGCCACCACCCCTCCCCGCACCTGCCCCGCCTGTCCCGCCTTGGGAGAGGATGGGGCGGACGTGGATGGGGTTGCAGCTGGAGGGTCAGGAGGCAAGCCCAGGCTCTGAGGGCACAGGACCTCGGGACCCCTCATTAGGAAGAGACACCGTCAGTGGGGCAGGCTCGTCTGGGACTTTCTCCAGTGTCCCTGGGAAACCAGTGGGACCCACACGAGGGTTTTTCTCCATAAGACGCTGAGCCAGAAAAGCACGCAGGGCCCCTGAAAGGCCCTTCCAACCCTCAGACCTGTGGCTCTGTGATCTGTGACTTGAGCATATGGGCTCCTGTCGCTGGTGCAATGCCACCTCAGGTGGGGTGCACATGAGTCATGGGCTGGGTTTCTCTGCCCAGAGGCACCTGGTGCAGTGAGGGGAAGGGCACAGGCAGCCTGCACACCCTCAGGGGTGGGGATGTTGACCCCATGGTGATTCTCCAGGGGGTGACATCTGTGACTCTGGCTTGTGAACCTTCTGGCTCATTCTGGGTCACTTCCCGGATCAATCCTGGGGCATTCCCGTCCTCCCTCTCTTTCTCCCTGTCTCCGGCTCTGCCCTGCCCATCACCTCAGCAGCTGGAGGGGGCGCAGGACCACGATGAAATAGAAGGGCTCCATGTTGAGGGCCAGCGCCAGCAGTCCCAGGAAGGCGAACACTGTCACGGAGAAGTCAAACCTGCAGTAGGGGAGAGGCCAAGGTCCACCCTGTGGCCCTGAGCCTACCTGCGCCTGCTCCCCTCCCTGGCCCTGTGCACAGCCACCCTCCCACAGAGCCCAGACACAGCAACACCAACAGGAACCAGCCGGCTGCGGGAAGAACTTCCTGCCACCCTGGGGTTTCAAGGTGGCCAGGCCCTGTCCCAGCATGCGTCTCACGGGTCAGGCCTCAGTGCTCTGACCCCAAGGCCAGAAATGCCCGGGAACCCCTACAAAGGGCCCCATGCTGGTCTAACGACAAGAAGGAAAGAAGCCCCGGCCTCTGCAGCCCTGGCCTCCGCAGCCCTGGAGACAGGCCTCGTCTTCCGCTCAACAGACATCTGGTTACACACTGCAGACCAGCCTGACCCCAAGGAACTTTTTGAGGGAAGAGAGCAGGCCCTTCCAGTGAGATTCCCATCGGGAGAACAGCTCGCCCTGCCCCAAGCCAGAGGACCCTCTCTCCTCTCCAGACACGCAGGGCACACACGTGCTGTCGGCTCCTCCCAACTCCGCTCTGCGTGTTAACCCGCTCACCCTCGCGGCCCAAGACCTCATGAGTGCAGCCTGACTTCACAGGCCGGTTAACTTGAACAGGGCAGGGAAGTGACCTCCAACGCTCTGGGGAATAGGGAGAAGGGCCACATGGGGTCTCATTACTGCTGATCAAGGAAGGGGGGGAGCATTCTTTTCTGTGGGCATTGTGGCTTTTATGGAAGAGAAAAAAGTTTAATGAGTCAGGAAGAGCCAATCAGTCTATGGCACCTCAAGAGGCCGTTTCCAGAAGGACGGTGTGGGTGGTCTGAGAGGCTTCAGACAAGGGCCTGACCCTGGGGAGTTCCTGGGCTGTGGGCAGGGCTGCTTGAGGGAGACATAGGCCTCAGCCCATCCTCAGACCCTCCCTCTGCGATTCCAGAAATGGCCCGGGATCAGGGTGTGCAGAGAAGGGTCTGGGGCCATCCTCAAGAGTCTCAGCTTTGGGTCAGAAACATGCTGTCCACTCACAAGTTCCATCCGGAAGACAAGTACTCCACAGGGCCCAGGCCGGCAACCTTCAGGAACAGCTCCACCCCATAGACTGTGGACAGAAGGAATCCATCGGCAGCAGCCCCGCCACATCCTCCCCCATGCTCGGTCTCCTCTTTGAGGCTCCTCCACAGTCTGCAGCCTCCCTGCTGGCCATAAGCCCTCCAGGCTGAGCCCAGGCCTCACTCATGTCCCAGCGTGAGAGCAGGTGCTCCAGGAGAGGGCCTAGATGGTGGCCAACTGGGTAATCTGCTTAAGAGAAACTGGCCAGGCATAGGGGTTCACACCTATCATCCCAGCACTTTGGGAAGCCAAGAGAGGAGGACCACTTGAGCCCAGGAGTTGGAGACCAGCCTGAGCAACATAGTGAGACCCCATCTTTACAAAAAATACAAAAATTAGCCAGGCATTGTGGCGCTGTGTGCCTGTAATCCCAGCTACTTGGGAGGCTGAGGCTACTCGGGATCCCTTGAGCCCAGGAGGTTGAGGTTGCAGTGAGCTATGATCACGCCACTGCACTCCAGCTTGGGTGACAGAGAAAGATCCTGCCCCAAAAAAAGAGAGAGAAATCCTCCCTGCCTGTCTCTGGGCAGGGCCCAGCTAACCATCTGTCCATCCAACAGGTGTGTCCTGACTACCCCTTCTACCTTGGGCCTTGCATTGGGTACCAGGTGTGCAAAAGTGACCAGTGCAGGGCAACCCTGGGGGCACAGAGCTTATCAGCTAGGTGGGAGGAAAGACGCCAACAGGGAATGACAACACAGTGTGCTCAGACTTGATGGAAAGAGCAGGAAAGTCAGGCAGAGGTTAGAGGAAGACACCACCAGGCAGAGGAAACCCCTGTGCACAGCCCAGAGGCAGGCAAGAGCAGCAGGGAGCAGAGGCTGCTGAGGAGAGCAACAGTGTGCAGCGGGGGACACGGCGCTGGCAAACAGCAGGGCTGCAGAGCCGAGTGGAGGGTCACACACGCCTAGGATCTGGGCTCCATCCAGAGGGCAGCGGACAACCACGAAAGAGTTTTAAACGGGGACGAGATGGAATCAGACTGATTACTCCGTCTCTTTATAGCTTCCTGTTTTAGAGAAGAACCATGAGGTTCTACACTGAATGAAAGTTCTCCCAGACAATTTTAAAACAAGCAGTCCAGCAAAGCCATGTCGGAAACGTACTAGTTAGAAAGACGAGGTAACTCCAGGGCACGTGCTTGGAGAAGAAGTTCCCACCTGTAAGACAGAGAAGTAGCAGCTCACAGGTAAGCCAGGTGTGCCGGCCAGGACACGGCCAGTCCCTGAGCGGGGCTCACCTTTCAGCATAAATGTCTCCACGAGGATCCAGACCCCGTTGACTGCCACCACCAAGTCTGAAATACACAGGCCCGTAAAAGACAGAGAAATAACAGGGGGGCTTAGAAATCTGCAGGTCGCAGCTGAAGTCCCTGGTTAACTTCCTGGAGCTCTACGGGATGGGGAGAACAGGGCTGCTCCACACACCCATTTGATAGGGAACTTCTTTCTGCTCAGTGCTCTTACCAAGGGAGCTAAATCAACCAGTGTTTTCACCTAGAAACAGCTATAAATTTCTAAAAACACTCCCTCTGTCACTGTATGAATACCAGTTATGATGTAGAGATTATTCCAAATTGAGGTAAAAGAGGGACAATATACCAGGCATTCAAGTATTGAAAACACTTGTTTTCCCCTAGAGACTTCTAATTTTAAAATAATTGCATGAACTCTTTAGAAAAACTGCATATGCATTAAGCCATTCGCCTAGCAATCCCACTTTCCAGAAACCATCCCAATGACACACTAGCAAAAATATAAGATGTATCTGAAAGCTACTCACCGCAGCACTATTGTGATAGCAAAACACTGGCAACAATCTCAATGATCATCAGTAGGGGACTGGTTGAACAGACTACGATACATTCATAAACTGGCATACTTTAACCATAAAAAAGAAACACAGGCTAGGTACAGTGGCTCACACCTGTAATCCCAGCACTTTGAAAGGCTGGGGCAGGTGGATTGCGTGAGCCCAGGGGCTCGAAACCAGCCTGGGCACACAGGGAGACCAAATCCCTGCAAAAAATAAAAATAACTAGCCAGGTGTGGTAGTGTGCACCTGTGGGCCCAGCTACTCAGGAGGCTGAGGTGGGAGGATCGTTTGAACCCAGGAGGTCAAGGTTGCAGTGAGCTATGCTTGTGCCACTGCACTCCAGCTTGGGTGACAGAGCAAGACCCTCTCTCTAAGAGAGAAGAAAGAAAAGAAATGAGGTACATTTCTACATATTACTTTTTTTTTTTTAAGACAGGGTTTTATTATTACCCAGGCTGAAGTGCAGTGGGGCGTGATCTTGGCTCACTGCAACGTCCACCTCCTGGGCTCAAGCAATCCTCCCACCTTAGCTTCCTGAGTAGCTAGGAACACAGGTGCACACCACCACGCCAGCTAATTTTTGTATTTTTTGTAGAGATGGGGTTTTGCCACATTGCCCAGGCTGGTTTTGAACCCCTGGGCTCAAGCAATCCACCTGCCTCTGCCTTCCAAAGTGCCGGAATTACAGGTGTGAGCCACCACACCCAGCCTCATTTCTACATATTACGGTCTCCAGGGCATATTGTTAACTGCAAAAAGCCAGGTGGCAGAAAAAAGTGCATAAAATATGCTATTGTTTAAGACAGATATATTGATAGGTATCCAACTTACAGGTTTTAAACAATGGAAGGAGAAGCCATACATAAAAGTTGCCCACTGTGGGAAGTGACAGGGATATAAACTAAACTTCCTTCAATATACTTTTTTTGGTAGATCTGACTTGGAACCATGTAAGTATTTTACATAATTTTTTTTTGCTTTTTCTTGAGATGGAGTCTCACTGTATTACCCAGGTTGGAGTGCAGTGGCACCATCACAACTCACTGCAACCTCTGCCTCTCAGGATCAAGTGATCCTCCTGCCTCAGCCTCCCAAGTAGCTGGGACCACAGGCGTGCATGGCTAATTTTTTCTATTTTTGGTAGAGATGGGGTTTCACCACATTGCTCAGGCTGGTCTCGAACTCCTGACCTCAAGTGATCTGCCCGCCTCGGCCTCCCAAAGTGTTGGGATTACAGGCATAAGCCACCATGCCCAGGCCTAATTTACATAATTATGAAACAAAATTTGGGTTTTTTTTTCTTGAGATAGGGGGGTCTCACTCTGTTGCCCAGGCTGGAGTGCAGTGGCGCGATCATGGCACACTGCAGCCTCAACCTCCCCAGGCTCAGGTGATCCTCCCACCTCAGCCTCCCAAGTAGCTGGGACTACAGGTGTGAGCCACCATACCCAGTTAATTTTTGTATTTTTTTTTTTGTAGAGACAGGGGTCTCACTATGTTGCCCAGGCTGGTCTCAAACTCTTGGGCTCAAGTGATCCACCCGCCTCGGCCTCCTGAAGTGCTGGGATTTTAGGTCTGAGCCACCATGCCCGGCCATAAAACAAAATTAAATGCCAAAAGCAATCCCCCAAAATAAAAAATAACATGGCATAAAGAAATCCAAATGTGTAGGCCGGATGCGGTGGCTCATGCCTGTAATCCTAGCACTTTGGGAGGCCGAGGCAGGTGGATCAACTGAGGTCAGAAGTTCGAGACCAGCCTGGCCAACGTGGGGAAATCCCGTCTCTATTAAAAATACAAAAAAATTAGCCAGGCGTGGTGGTGGGTGCCTGTAGTCCCAGCTACTTGGGAGGCTGAGGCAGGAGAATGGTGTGAACCCGGGAGGCGGAGCTTGCAGTGAGCCGAGATCACGCCACTGCACTCCAGCCTGGGTGACAGAGTGAAATTCTGTCTCAAAAAAAAAAAAAAAAAAAAATTAGCCGGGTGTGGTGGTGGGCACCTGTAATCCCAGCTACTTGGGAGGCTGAGGGAGGAGAATTGCTTGAACCTGGGAGGCAGAGGTTGCAGTGAGCCAAGATCATGCCACTGCACCACAGCCTGGGTGACAGAGATAGAGTGAGACTCTGTCTCAAAAAAAAAAAAAAAAAAAAGAAATCCAAATGTGTATCCAGTTGGTGACATGTCCACATGGAGAGGAACTATCCCACATGACCTTAAAACACAAGGCCAAGCACACTGGCTCACACCCGTACTCCCAGCACTTCGGGAGGCCAAGGCAGGAGAATGGCTTGAGGCCAGGAGCTTGAGACCAGCCTGGGCAACATGAGGCTACCCCGTCTCTACAAAAAATTAAAAAATTAGCCAGGTGTGGTGGCATGCACCTGTGGTCCCAGCTACTCAGAAGACTGAGGTGGGAGGATGGATTGAGCCTGGGAGGTCAAGGCTGCAGTGAACCATGACTATGCCACTAGGGCACCAGACCTAAGTCTTTGTCTCAAAACAAACAAACAAAAAAACCCACAGTAATCTGAATGTACATCATTGGAATGATGTTTCTAGTAATTATATCATTGGGATTGCTTTGCAATTGTTATCCTGGGACTGTGAGACAAAGCAAATGAATAACTGTGCCAGTGTAGTTGGGAACCTGGATATTTATTTTTTTTTCTTTGTTGGTGTCTGATTGTCTTCAAAGACAACCTGGATTTTAAGATTGAGAATCTAGGCCAGGCACGTGGCTCACGCCTGTAATCCCAGCACTTTGGGAGGCTGAGGCAGGTGGACCACCTGAGGTCAGGAGTTCGAGACCATCCTGGTCAACATGGTGAAACTCCATCTCTACTAAAAATACAAAAACAGCTGGGCGTGGTGGCACACACCTGTAATCCCAGCTACTCAGGTGAGTGAGACAGGAGAATCACTTAGAACCTGGGAGGCAGAGGTTGCAGTGAGCACAGATTACGCTAGCCTGGGCGACAGAATGAGACTCTGTCTCAAAAAAAAAAGGATTGAGAATCTAGACGTGTAAGATTGATGAAATCAGTCTTACACATCTAGATTCTTAATCTTAAAATTGCTGTAGGCCTGAATGTGAAGTATTAGCATGAACGCACAACAGTTTATCTTTAAAAAAAACAAAACCCTAGTTCTGTCCATGGAAAGGCCTAGAAACAATGACCAACCCAAGCAATGAGCACCCAGCACCTCGAATTGTGTCTCTAACACCATTTCCTACTAAAAGGAACCAGAGCTCCTTGGAAAGACCAAATTGGATCAAGCCTCTAGGTTAGTACTGTCCAAGGGAATTTTCTGTGACAATACAAATTTTCTTATCTGCACAATCCAATTGGTAGTCATTAGCCATTTGTGGCTATTAATCACTTGAAATGTGACAGCTAAGCTGAATTTTTCATTTTAATTAGCTTAAATGTAAATTGCCACATGTGGCCAGTGGCTTCCACACTGCACAGCATGGCTCTAGACAGAACTACCAAATTCCAGGAAAAGGCAACAGAGGAACATACAAAACCCAAATCCTGCTTCCTCACCTAAATGAGGTGAGGAAGAGAAGCCTATAGATTAAAACAAACTCAAGAGACATATCGACCAGTCAACTCTGTGGTTCTGGAATTTGCTTCCAAAAAATCTAGGTCTAGAGAGGATGATGAGCCGGAGTGAAGATACAGATGGGTGATGGGCACGGGGATGCGTGTGGTAATGTTCTCTTCACTTTTATACATGCTGGGAATTCCCCACAATAAAAAGTCAAACACAGGACTCTAGGACCAATCTCTTGCCTCTCCCGCTTCTAGAACAGCAAAGGACTCAGGGGGAAAGTGGCCTAGAGTGGAGATATTTCACACTTACACATGAAATACTGGAAGGCCTTGGACTTCACAAGGATATTAATACCTATTTGAAGAAAAGACAAGTTAAAATGTAAATTTACGCACTTGTTCCCCCTACTGTATCCTTAATTATTATTATCTCTTTCTGGGCAGGTGCAACCACCTACCACACTCTTCGTGCATGCAGGTAAGCATGGTCTTTACCCCAGAGGTGAAGAAAGGAGGGTCCTGCTCAAAGAGTGGTACCCATGCTTCTGCTCAGACCCCCAGACAAGACTGCACTGACTACAGCTGCTCTGGGGGGAGCCTGAGCAACCTGGAACCAAGATAGAGCAGGACAAAGCTCTCCTGATCACTGCTGAAACTGGCATGAAATTAAGGGGCAACTGTCAGGTAAATAATACGAGCACCCAATTTCAAATTTTCAAACTTTACACTACACAAGCATTATTCAAGGGGTCATGCAAAGTATACATCCTGCCATAAGAGGAGGGCAAAAATATATTATCGGGGTCGGGCGCAGTGGCTCACGCCTGTAATCCCAGGCCTTTGGGAGGCCGAGGTGGGTGGATCACGAGGTCAGGAGTTCAAGATCAGCCTGGCCAGCATGGTGAAACTCCATCTCTACTAAAAACACACACACACAAAATTAGCCGGGCATGGTGGCACATGCCTGTAGTCCCAGCTACTCGGGAGGCTGAGGCAGGAGAATCGCTTGAATCTGGGAGGCGGAGGTTGCAGTGAGCGAGATCGCACCACGGCACTCCAGCCTGGGCAACAGAGCGAGACGCCGCCTCAAAAAAAAAAAAAAAAAAAAAAAAAATATATATATATATATATATATATATATATATACACACACACACACATATATATACACACACACACACACACACATATATATATACACACACACACATATGTGTTATTGGATGAAAAGGCAGATTACAGAATGGAATATATAATGTCACCCTACTGTTTTAAAAATGCATAGAAAAATGGCACAGAGGGAAACACATCAGAGAACTAACAGTGGTTATCTGGGTGGTAAATTTCCATTTACTTCTAATTATCTCACTTTCAAGTTTCTTCAATGAACATCTTTGCTTTTGTATGAAAAAAGAAAAATACCCCAAATGTCTTGGTTGGGTTAAGTTACCCATTTTGGTTGGGTTAAGTTACCCATTTCTCTCCCAATCTGCTTCCTACCACCCTTACGTCCCTGCTGGGGTAATCACACTGTCTCTTCACACAGGCATTCAGACAAACACACACACACACACACCCCTCTGAACCTCTCCTCAGACGCTTATCTGTGGTCTCTGAAAACCTCCATCGGCCCCCAGCTGCCAACACCTGCCATACTCAAGCCCACTTACCTTTGAAGATGAGGAGCGCCGTCCTGGGAAGCTCATCAAACCAGTGCTCTCTGTTTTTCTTGGCCTGGTAGACAACAGGACCAAGAGGGAGGGTGTCAGGGCCAGGGACCAGGGCCCTGCCTGGAGCCAGGATGCTGGCTTCCTTTCCTGTTCACCCTGCTAAACTGGGGAACAATGTTAACCTTCAGGGATCTACATGACAACACAGCCAGCCAGTGTGTACCGAGCGTTTACAATGTGCCATGCAGAGGCCTTATTTTAGTATAGTCCTGAAATGAGGTTTGTCAGTAGGGATTATCCTTACGCCACTTCCCAGGTAAGACAAGCCTCAGAAAGGCTCAGTAACCCGCCTGATGTCACACAATAACCAATGGGGTCTAAGTAAGATTCGGTGCTGTTAACGATGACACTGTATCACAAATGTAAGGGCAGATTTGGGGGCTGGGGCCACCTGTGATCCCTGAAGTGTACCATGCCAAGCTGGGGGCTGAGCTGCTCTAGCAGGGAGAGAGCTGGATCTCGGGGTGCCCCTGCTCCTCACTGCCCCACGTGGGGACCTCTCTGTCTACTCCTTCTATGGTCTCAGAGAAGAACTCACCTTCCACTTCAAAGCAGCAACTTCGTAGATATCGTAAAAGTCCTTTAGGCTACCAAAAGCAAAATAAAAAGGGACAAAATATCAGAACATAGTTCCACTGTGCTTTGCTTCTCTTACTTGCCTGCCTATGGACACCTTTATGGGGTGAGGGAGGAAGAGAGGGGACACCATGTGAGTCCCAGCACAGCAGTGCTGGGGGATCCTTTACCTGCAAGCGTTTGGATCTCCTCTGACCTTGAGGTACTACAAATATGTAATCCACTTAAGTCTCCACCGATGGCACTAACTACGGACAGTGTCAGTGCCCTGGAGAGGCAGCTGCTGGAGCACTAGGATTCTTAGGAGGACGGAAACTTCACTTTTTAGCAGGGGCCTTAATGCAACACCTGGGACTGCAAGTTCAGCTCAAACAGGGCTTGTTCTCAGCTCCACAGCAGGCTGCTGTGGACAGGGCTTGGTCATCAACAGCCTGGAAGACCAATCCTACCCCTGGAGATCTCGGGTCAGTTCTCTGCGGCCGAGCCAGGTGTGTGCAGGGGATTGGGGAAGTATATTCACCCCTGTCTGTCCACCTGGCTCACATGGGACTATCCCACCCCACTGGGGGTTCGAGGGCCAGCAGCTGGGCCAGTCCACTTCATGAGCTCCTTTTTTCTCAAGTCAGCTTGAATTGGATTTGTGTTGGACTTTTGTCACTTGCAAAAGGCATCCTGATGAATCCAGTGTGTAAGTCTACATGGATAAACATCTGTGGAGGAAGTCTCTGACAAGCCTATAGGCCTGCCCACCTCAAGGGCCTTCACATGCCCCCGTTCACTCTAGACGTGAACACCTTGTCTGGCCATGCTGCCCCTACCAGGCATCTGCTCTTACCTGAGCAGGGGTGTGTTGTTCTGATTCAGGGCCTTGAAGGTAAGATAGCGCTCCCTGGCACTCATCCGGGGCTTGTAGAAGCGCATGAGGCCTTCAAACTGCCTGTAGGAGATGCCGGCAGGCCTCTGGGGGAGAGGGAAGAGCAGTGTGGAACCCAGGCTACTCCCCTTCCCTTGGGGCACCCACTCCAGATCCACTCCAGCTCTGTTCATTCTTCCAAGGGCAGGGTTCCTGGTTTCTAAAGTGGCTGGCCTGGCCATGCTTAGGGGCTGCTCTGGGCAAGGGAGGGAGGACAGGGACCAAGCCCCTCCCTGGCCCATAGTTCCTACCCTCTGGCTGATGAGCAGGCGGTAGGCATGCTGGATAGCGGTTCGCTTGTGCAGTAGCAAAGACTTGAACTTGCGTTTCTCAATGTCATTGAAGGTGTCGAACACCACAGCCAGAAGCTGTGGGAGAGAAGCACAGAGCCCTAGCTCAGGACCTTGAGTGGTTAGGGCAGGGAGTGCAGGGGGGTATGAGTTCATCATCTAGGCAAGGCTCTTACCCAGTCACCCCAGAGAGGCCCTGGGGAGACCCTCTCGCCTGCACCTCATGGGGTAGGAAGTCAGTCTCCCAAGTCTCAACAGAGGAAGGCCCTTTGTTCCGCTTGTAAATTTCCCTCTTCAGATACATGAAGGCATTGTTACTCCATCTTTCCCAGGTTCCCCTCCACTTTCCCACACTCCTTTCCCCAGTTCCAGCTACAGCTTGTCCCAGGCTGCGCAGGGGCAAGCCAGGGGAGGAGAGAGTAGCAAGAGGGGCGCATCTGGATTCTGAGCCCAGTCCGACTCCAGCCAGTGGCAGGCGGAGGCTGCCTGCCCACTGCCCTCCTGACCTCCGATCCAGAAGGACCCTTCCTCCCCCTGCCCCTTTGTTACTTCTCCTTGTGAGTCACTGCTTCACGTGTGGCCCAGGAAAAAGGGGAGTGAGAGGCTCTGCATGCAAGGAAATAACGTTCTAGAGTTGGCTAATACCAAAAGTTAGCTTATCAGAGGGGGATGGAAGGCCGGGGAAGAACTTGAAAGAATCCTTTTTAGAAACACTTTCTCTGTCTTTAAAAATGTTTTAAGGGAAACTCTCTGGTCCTTTCCCTCAAACTGGTCCCCCATTTTTTCCCTGTGGATCAAAGGTCAGCATGCTTTTTCTGTAAAGGGTTCGACAGCAACTGTTTTAGGCTGTGAAGGCCAAATGATCTCTGCTGCGACTACTAACCTGTGGTCATATCATGAGATCAGCCACAGACTATACATGAACAAATGGGCATGACTCTGTCCCAATGAAACTTTATTTACAAACACAGGCCATGGGCCAAATTTGGCCAGCAGGTCGTACTTTGTTGACTGCTGCCCTAAATTTTCACAGCTCTAAATATATTATGAATTAAATCAAATACAAAGAAGTACTCAACATATTTCTTCTTGGTTTTGAGGAATTAAAACAAGAAAATATTTTCTCAGGCCGGGCACGGTGGCCTGTAATCCCAGCACTTTGGGAGGCCGAGGCGGGTGGATCACAAGGTCAGGAGATTGAGACCATCCTGGCTAACAAAGCGCGAAACCCCATCTCTACTAAAACTACAAAAAAAATTAGCCGGGCGTGGTGGCGGGTGCCTGTAGTCCCAGCTACTCGGGAGGCTGAGGCAGGAGAATGGTGTGAATCCAGGAGGCGGAGGTTGTAGTGAGCCGAGATCGCGCCACTGCACTACAGCCTGGGCAACAGAGCAAGTCTCTGTCTCAAAAAAAAAAAAAGGAAATATTTTCTCCTTTTTAAGACTTAAATTTTGGCCAGGCACTGTGGCTCACACCTGTAATCCCAGCACTTTGGGAGGCTGAGTCGGACGGATCACCTGAGGTCAGGAGTTCGAGACCAGCCTGACCAACATGGCAAAACCCTGTCTCTACCAAAAATACAAAAATTAGTCGGGTGTGGCGGCATGTGCATGTGCCTGTAGTCCCAGCTACTTGGGAGGCTGAGGCAGGAGAATCGCTTGAACCTGGGAGGCGGCGGTTGCAGTGAGCTGAGATTGCGCCACTGCACTCCAGCCTGGGTGACAGAGCGAGACTCCATCTCAAAAAAGAGAAAAGGACTTAAAATTTTTTAGATTTCACAAGTCTACCTGGAAAAGATGATTTTCATTTCTATACTGGGCCTGACTGTGGTGACTGGTGTGAGAATGCTCTGCAGAAGCATAAAAATAAACACAGGACTCGATCGGAAGCCTCTCCCCGTTAGCTCTGCCATGGATGTGTGGTCTGGGCACCGGCCTAACAGCCTGGTGTCGGATGTGATCTGTGATGGCTGGGACACTCCTGGAGGCTGTCCACACCTCCACAAACACCCTCAAAGTTCTTTGAGCACAGAGGCTTTACGTTCTCCTTCACAGAACGTGTTCTATACTGGATTTTCTGATGGTTCCTGATAAGTGAGGTAGAAATACACAAGACATTTCTGGCACGTGAGTGCAACTGAACAGAGTGGTTAGGAACAGGGCTCTGGGATGAGCCTGGCCTGGCCACTCCAAGCTATGTAGCCATGGGCAAATCACACTGTCACTCTGACCCTCAGTCTCTTCATCTGCACATGGAGAACCATACTCACTACCTCCACGGTTGTGTTTATTTATTAAATTATTTCATCCTCATATGTAAAGCACTTTGCATAGTGCCAAGTGGCTAAGGCTTACTAAATGCCAGCTTTTATGGTTATTATAATATACTTGGCCTTCTTTATCTGTGGGTTCTCCATCCATGCATTCAACCAACCGCAAATCAAAAATATTCCAAAAAGAAAAGGATGGTTGTATCTGTACTGAACATGTACAGCCTTCTTTTTCTTGTCATTATCCCTAAACAATATAGTATAACAATTTTTTTTTTTTGATACAGAGTCTCGTGCTGTTGCCCAGGCTGGAGTGCAACGGCATGATCTCGGCTCACAGCAACCTCCACCTCCTGGGTTCAAGCAATTCTTCTGCCTCAGCCTCCTGAGTAGATGGGATTACAGGCACCCACCACCACGCCCAGCTAATTTTCATAAGTAGAGACAGGGTTTCACCATGTTGGCCAGGCTGGTCTCGAACTCCTGACTTCAAATGATCCACCCACCTTGGCCTCCCAAAATGCTGGGATTACAGGCGTGAGCCACCATGTCCAGCCCAGTATAACAACTATTTACATAGCTTTTACATTGTATTAGGTGTTATAGGTAATGCAGGATAATTTAAAATATATGAGAGGATGAATGTACACAGGTTATCTGCAAATACTCTGCCATTTTATATAAGGGACTTGAACATCTGTGGATCTTTGTACCTACAGGGGGTCCTGCAAACAATCCCTGTGGACACCGAGGGTCAACTGCTTATTTCTGATGTAAGAATGAAAAGGTCCCAGGGTTGCCTGGGTTTCACATCCAGCACTACCAGCATCAGCAGCATTGCCTTGGTGAGGACGCCACCCCCAGCAACTGGCTGAACTCCTGAAGTCCCGACAGGGCATTCCCTGCAACACCGCACCTGACTATGAATCTGGGACTTCCTGCCCCAACGTTCTGCCCTGAGAGGCAGAAGACAGTCCCCACTTCTCCACTCCCACAGTGCCTAGTGCTGCATGGGTAGGGGCAGGCTGCTTCAGCGTAGCCTGAGGCATAGTCACTCACCAGGTTCATGATGAAATACAGCTCGATGGAGAGGTACACGATGAAGAAGACGCAGGACCAGGGGTTCCGGGAGTAGGAGGGCATCATCACATCTGGGAAACTGTATTTGCAGAGGGTGACCCGGCGTGCTGTATCTGCCTGTCTCCATCCTCTCAGAGCACATGCCTTGCAGAGGACAGCTCCTTGTCTGCCTTCCCAGCCTCCAACCCTGGTTCCCCTACTCTCATCCCTGGGCTCCGTGCTCAGTGGGCCAACCCTGTCTCCCAATAGCACCACAGCACCTGCCTGTGCTGGGATGTGGAATATACTTGGCAGAAAAGAGAAAGAGACCCCAGGGCGGCAGCAGAGGACCAAAGGCAAGGCAGAGCCTGCACTTACTTGGCTGTGGTCAGAAGGACAAACAGACTGACGATGCTGTTCTCCAGGGTGCTGAAGTACTGCAAGGGAAGAGAGGGCAGAGAAGTCGGGACCAGCCAAGAGCACACGGCCATCAGGAACAGGCTGTGATGGGCCACCTGGCATGCCCTGCCTTGACCGCTCTTGCATCTCTCAAGGAATCCCTGAGGGAGGCAGAGGAAAGAGCAAACATGCAGTCCAGAGGCCTCCCCTTTCCTGCACCTGATGCTTCCGGCAGAAGCAAACTATTGACTTGGGGGGACTTTTTTCTAGGGAGTCACATGTCTGGGCCATTCGCCTGGCTCTCCCCCACTGCTCCTCTGCCAAAATATTCCAATGGTCCAAACCTGATCCTGGCGGCACTCCTTTCAAGAACAGAAAAGGGGATCCCCAGCTCTCAAGGAAGAAAGTGGTCAAGTCTGAGTGATGGGAACTCCCAGGTGCAATGCACACACAAGCTATGATGAGAAACCAGGCAGGCCCCCCCTTCCCCATATGGCCACAGGGTCACGCCGGTGACCCTGTCTGAGGGAAAAGCCCTCCATAAAAGAAGAGACGGACAAATGTGCTGATTACTTACGGGGTCTGAAGGGTTAGGGGAGAACAAGTAGAAACCTAGAAGTGGGTGGAAACAGATAAACAAAAGGATTAGAGCAGAGGTCCCAAAACCTGGTGTCAAAAGGACTGGACAAATACATGCAAATGAACGCAGCAGGTCAGGAAGAGCAGCAGGGACTGCTGGGGACCACAGCACCCTGAGAACACATGCTCTGTTGGAAGGGAGCAGGGCTGCTGGCACCAGACGCTTGCTGCCCTACAGCAATGTGCCGGGCACTATCGGCTCTGTTCTTTCAAAAGGCTGGAAGTCTGTATTTTTGTGTAAAATCTAATTTTAAAATGCTGGCTCAAAGTTTTCAGACCAAACAAAACCCATCTGTAGGCTGGATCTGGAATCCAGGCTGCTGTTTCGCAATCTTAGGTTCTGAGAACATGACAGCTGACTAAATTCCAAAGGGATCCGCTGCTCCCTGCAGCCAGGGTCCCAGGGTGGGAATGCCATTCACTTCCTCCCTCCAGGAATGGACCACTCCCTGAGTCCCTGAAATCCTGAGTGGGAAAAGGGAGGAACTCTGCCCTCAGGGGAAATCAGCCCCTACCCCCGGAGAAGCACAAACAAAATTCTACCAAGAGTGGGGTGGTGGGTGGGAGGAAGTGAGAGCCATGACTCAGGACAAGGCAGTCACGAGGGCCGGGAGGGGTTGGCCCTGGCTCTAGCCTCAGAGTCAGGGCTCTGGAGTTCCACTGTCTTCACCATCTGCGGAGTCCTGGTGAAAGGACCTCGGCTTTCCCAGCTGAGTGCCACGGCTTCCGATGTCTATGCCCTGTGACTCTTGTGTGGCTGTCACAGTCAGCCCCACCTGAAAAACTAAGCCCTCCTGAGTGAGCAGCCTGTGACCATGCTGTACCCAGTGAAGCTGAAGCTTGCCGTCTCTCAGGGCCCAGGCAAGCGCCTTTGGGAAACTCTCAAGCGTGAGCACCGGGAAACACACAGGAGTGTTCACTGCGGTGGGATTTGTGATAAGAAAAACGTCCGACAGAAGAGCAGATAAACAAGCTTTGGCATACTTGCTCCGCTCCAGTGAAAATGAATAAACAGCATCTACATGTATCAACAGGAATAAATTTCAAAAACACAGTGCTGAGCGAAAGGGCAATGTGTAGAAGCGGACACCCATATTATATAACCACTTAGAGACTTTTTTAAGTATGCAAAGCATTATCATTTCTTTGTCACTTGGGGAAATGTAAATGTGAAGTAAAATATAAAGACGTGCATGGGAATGATAAGCGTAGGACAGGGGGTACCTTTGGGGAAAGCGGGAATCACAATCACTAAAGGTCACAAACATGCCTTCCATTTTATTTCTAAGGCTTCATTTCCTAAGCTGGATGGTAGGTCCATGGGTGTTCATGTTATTATTACTTATTTATTTTTGAGACAGAGTCTTGCTCTGTTGCCCAGGCTGGAATGCAGTTGCGCTGTCACAGCTCACTGCAACCTCTGTCTCCCCATGCTCAGGTGATCCTCCTGCCTCACCTCTTGAGTAGCAGGGACCACAGGTGCATGCCACATGCCACCATACCCAGCTAATTCCTGTATATTTTTTTTGTGTGTGTGTAGAGATGGGGTCTCCCTATCTTGCCCAGGCTGGTCTCGACCTCCTGGACTCAAGCGATCTGCCTGCCTCCTCCTCCTAGAATGCTGCGACAATCAGCGTGGGACACCATGCCTGGCGTATTTTTAAAATCTTTCTGAATTTATAAAACTACCTGCTCTGGTCTGAATGTTTGTGTCCCCTGCCCCTAATCCCTATGTTGAAATCCTAATCCCCAAGTTGAGGGTGTTAGGAGGTGGCGGCTGTGGGAGGTGAAGAGGTCATGAGTGTGACGTCCTCCCGAATGGGATTAGTGCCCCTATAAAAGAGGTCCCAGAGGCCGGGCGCGGTGGCCCACGCCTATAATCACAGCACTTTGGGAGGCGGAGGCAGGTGGATCACAAGGTCAGGAGTTGGAGACCAGCCTGGCCAATATGGTGAAACCCCATCTCTACTAAAACTACAAAAAGTAGCTGGGTGTGGTGGTGGGTGCCTGTAGTCCCAGCTACTCGGGAGGCTGAGGCAGGAGAATCACTTGAACCTGGGAGGCAGAGGTTGTAGTAAGCCGAGATCGTGCCACTGCACTCCAGCCTGGGTGACAGGGTGAGACTCCGTCTCAAAAAAAAAAAAACAAAACAAAACAAACAAAAAAGAGGCCTCAGAGAGCTGCCTCCCACCTTCCACCACGTGAGGACACAGCCAGAAGGCACCACCTATGGATCAGGAAATAGGCCCTCAACAGACACCCACAGCTGGCCTTTGATCTTGGACTTCCAGATCTCACAGCCTCCAGAAAGGGGTGAAATAAACTTCTGTTGTTTATAAGCTGCCCAGTCTATGGCATTTTGTTACAGCAGTCCAAAAGGACTAAGGCACTGTCTAAATAATTTTTCTTTTCTTTTCTTTTTTTTTTTGAGACAAAGTCTCACTCACTCTGTTGTTGCCCAGGCTGGAAAGCAGTGGCACGATCTCAGCTCACTGCAACCTTGGCCTCCCGGGTTCAAGCAATTCTCCTGCCTCAGCCTCCGAAGCAGCTGGGATTACAGGTGTGCACCACCACGCCCAGCTAATTTTTGTATTTTTAGTAGAAACTGGATTTCACCATGTTGACCAGGCTGGCCTCAAACTCCTGACCTAGGTTACCCACCCACCTTGGCCTCCCAAAATGCTAGGATTACAGGCGTGAGCCACTGAGCCAGGCCCAAAATAATTTTTCATCCACCGTGAACTTGCTTTTCCAGCGCACCTGGGCCTGAGAGGCGGGAACTCACCGAGGATGGCAAAGATGATCATGAAGAACAGCAGCAGCAGGAGGATGTCCATGAAGGGCGGCAGGGACTGGAAGATCTGCCGCAGGTTGCTGGGGAGAGATGGGCCAGCTCAGGGGAGGCACCAGCTGGGGCGGGCTGCCTGGGACTCCTCCTTGTTGAGATGGAGGCCTAGTGCTTCTGACTCGAAATACTAAACCCTGACGCACTCTGGTGTGACATCATGCTTCATTTTTTCCTAAAGTGGCTTGAGACCCCCACTCAGCGGATGGCAGGGAAGAACTAGGGCAGGCGTAGCACACAGCCACCTCCACCTGGTGAGGCCCCAAGGAGGTGAGTGCCATGCAAGCAGGGAACAGAGCAGCAGAAGGCCAAGGGCATGACCTTGGGTGCAAAGGTCAGTTTCCATGAGCAGGATGTGGAAGGCATGAAGACATTTCAAGGCCACTTAGTCCTGGGACACTGGGCCTGTTTCAAGGACACTGAGTCCTGTTTCTAGCTTTGCAGATGGGCACAGAGAATGAATTGCAAACCCACTCTCAGCAACAGTAGCCCAGCCAAGGAATTTTCCAGATTGAGTCTCCCAAAATAAATCTCAGTCGAGGCTTGGTCTGGTTTGAGTTTGGTCCTACAGCCTCGATGGAGGTGGCAGGAGAGTCTGCTTGTGTCACATGGACGCTGCTGAGCTGCCTGCATTTGGGTAGATAACATGCCTAGAGCGAGGAAGCAGCTCTGGAAGGCTGCGGATAAGATGGGAAAAAGCCCTGGACCCAGAGGCAGCAAACCTACACTGCGGTAGGAATACCGCTTTCTCCTGTGCGTGGATGGAATGGCAGAGGGAGAGTGAGTCTGCGTGTACTCCACCAGCATGCAGGGTCGACCTCATCACTAACTGACTCACAAGCTCCTGCCCCACTGGCCCAGAGGTCAGGCCATGCCAGGATAGTGACTGCCCAGCTCCCCACCCGGGCCTTACCGCCGGACGCCACCGCAATACCGACAGTCCACCAGGAAAATGCAGCGCAGTGCTCGGGTCACCCGCACATGGGACATCTGCCGTACCAACACCACGATGGCCTCGACAAACTGCACCACCAGCACCGAGGTCTGTGGGTGGCAGGCATGGAGCACCGTCAGCCCCTGCAGCCCAGCCGTCATCCTGCATACCTGGAACGGGGGGCTGGAGAGGCAGTGCCCACTCTGGCCTCGGGAGGCCTTCTCCTCTCTCCAGCCCTCTCACACTTCCTGCCAACATCAGGCAGCCCCAGAAGAAAAAAAACTCCAGGTGCTGGCACAGGTGTGTGGCACCAGAAGAATGGAAGGGCTGTGTGACTGCTGGTATCCACTGAGGAGGCAAAACCGCCACTCTGCCAGGACCCCTCGATCAGCCCTCGCCACTCACATCAGGGATCCCGGGGCCTGCAGCTCCTCTTCAGCTCTGCTTACTTGGCTATATTCTCCTAGAGTAGCGCACATGCTCCACACACTACAAAATGCCACCTTGACGTGCTCTTACTCATGCCACTCTCTGTGGCACAGAGAGAATATGCGCAACACTAGGGACAGGTGAGCCGGGCGCAGTGGGCAGAGCTGGGTGTGAGCCCCATGTCTCCAGATGAATGTAAACCACGGAGAGCAGCACATCTCTCTCGAAGGTGACTGCGCCAGTGCCTGGCAGGTACCAAACACCCAATCACATTAGCTACTGCTGGCATCACGACATCCAGGGCACCCACAAGGCTGAGGGCACGGTCAGGACAGGGACCCTAGGGTTACACCTCTGAGCATGGACTGGGCCCATGGTGGATTCTGAATTGTACCAAAGAGACAGGTTTGAAGGTGACATGGGAGAAAAGGCTGTGAGGGGAGGGACAGATGGGCGGACACATCACCTTGACCATGGTCCGCTTGTGCCGGATGAAGGTGTGGAGGCCCAGCCAGCGTAACTTCATGCAGAGTTCAAACACTACCACCATCAGGGCAAACAGCTCCAGGGTGGCGTGGACCTGAGACCAGAGGGTGTGGAGATGTGTCATGGCCAGCCCAGCCCATGGCCACTCCTCTTTGCCCAACCCTCCCAGGACCTGGGAGTGCCCCAGGACATCCTCCCAACACATATCAGAGTTACAAAAACCTGGCCTCGCATGCCTAAAGACAGAGCCTTGGTCACGGAGCTTTCCCCAGAACAACTAAACATAAACTTGATATCCATGAAACTGACATGCTGGCCCAAATGATGAAAAATCAGGAAGGAGCCTGAAGTTTAAAAGTAAGAAAAAGAAATTAGCTGGGCGTGGTGGCGCACACCTGTAATCCCAGCTACTCAGGAGGCTGAGGCAGGAGAATCGCTTGAGCACAGGAGGCAGATGTTGCAGTGAGCCGAGATGGTGCCACTGCACACCAGCCTGGGCAACAGAGGGAGACTCAGTCTCAAAAAAAAAAAAAGTAAGAAAAACAAGATAAGATAAAATTTAATATCTAGTCTTGTTCTAAGAGGGATTTCATGTAATTTACAAAAGATCTATAAAAGACACTAAGAAAGCATCAATTAGGAACTTAAGAAATAAAATCCGATTGTCAAAGAAACAAGGACTGTCAAGCAGAGAGCAGCCCCTAAAACTCTCATCCTCATTTTGGACAAAAGGACAAGACATGGAAAACCCTTAGATGGAAAACCTTCCCAGCAGGGAAGTCAAGTGCTTCTGGGAAACAGACATAGGAGAGCTCCTCCTCCTGGGGGTAGGGAGGTCCAGGGCCTGTGGACATTCCAGTGGGCAGGAATTGACAAAGTGAAGGGACAGGAAGAAGGACTCCAGCACAGGTGACGGCATGGGGGAGGTGTGCACAGAAAGAAACACAGACTGGCTGGAGCTGTGAGTTCCAGGCATGAAGAAGGAGAAACAGGAAGGGAAACTGAGTCATGGAGGGCCTTGGAGGCCAGGCTGGATGAGCGCTTCCTAACTCAACAGGCACAGGCTCCCTTCCCTGCTTCCATGCCTACCACACACCCCTTGAGAAGGGGACAAGCACAGCTCCACACCTGTTCTGGCCCCCACTGAATGATGGCTGGGCCTGGGTGTAGGGACATCTGCGGGGCTGGGGCTGCCCAGGAAACATCCCCCACCTCCCATGGTGACCACACCGAACTGCCTTCTCCTTTGAGGCTGGAGACAGAGTAGTGGGACTGTCCACTGGGTGCCCTCCCCACCCGGAGCCAAGGTGTGGGCACTGGTCCTGAGCAGGGCCTGGGACACTTCCCCTCCCTGGAATTTACTGGTGGGCAGAATCCCAGAGAGACTGGGTGAAGGCCATTCACTCCAGCAGGGACACCCAGGCATTTCCGCTCCCAAGGCCTCTATGACCACCTCGTATCTCTCTGTTTTAAGTCCGTTTGCAGTGTTTGCCCTCCCAGAATGTTCCTTTTTGGAGTTCCATCGCTTGCCCTGAAAGCCGTGGCTCCCAGCCCCCCGTATGAGGAGCATGTGCGCTCACATAGATGCCAAGCCGGAGTGCGGGGACGGCGGGGGCCTCGCACAGGGAGAGCAGCAGCAGCAGCAGGGCCGTGGCCAGCTCCATCAGGTAGAAGAGGTGATTGTGTGCAAAGAGGTAGGCCGCCAGCGCCTTGGCATCCTTGGGGTGGGTGAAGAACTTGTCGTTGTTCTCGCCTTCCTGAAAAGATGAGAGTAGTGTGGGCATGTAAGCCTGGAGACCCATCCAACGCCAAAGAGGAGCCGCGGGCAGGGGAGGAAAGGAAGGCCCCAGGCAGGCGAGGAGAGATTCAGGCCAGAGACAGAAGATGCTGGAAAATCAAAATGATCTTCGCGAAACTCACGGTGGTCAGGTCTCACTCCTGCCTGCTGATGGGCTCAAGAGATTTGCTGCTTCTTAAAAACCACTCGGAGGAACCAAAGACTAAAAGGGTCCAGAGACAGCCAGGTGTGGTGACATCCCAGCTACTCCGGAGGCCAAGGCGGGAAGATCCCTTGAGCCAGGACTTTGAGTCTAGCCTGGGCAACACAGCAAGACACCATCTCTTAAAAAAGAGGGGAGGGGCTGGGTGCGGTGGCTCATGCCTGTAATCCCAACACTTTGGGAGGCCAAGGCAGGAGGATTGCTTGAGCCCATGAGTTTGAGACCAGCCTGGGCAACATGTTGAGACCCCTGGTGCCAGCCACTTGGGAGGCTGAGGTTGGAGAATCACTTGAGCCCGGGAGGTCAAAGCTGCAGTGAGCCAAGATCGTGCCACTGCGCTCCAGCCTGGACCACAGAGCAAGACCTGGTCTCAAAAAAAAAAAAAAAAGAAAGAAAAAGAAAAAAGGTCCTGAGAGGAGGTAAAGAGAAACAGGCATGTCCAATCCCCTCAGAGGCCAAGTTCTCCCTCTAGGAGTGCCCAGCAGAGTGTAAAGAGCTCAGGGGCCTGGGAGGAACCACACGTGCTGAACCCTGGCTTTCTACTCCTTCCCTGAGGAATGCTGGGAAGGTTCCTTCACCCTTGAGGCTGAGCTTCTTCAACGATAAAGGAACTAACATTAGTGCTTCCTCCTGGAGCTGTTGTGAAGAGGAAAGGTGAGGACATTTGTGAGGCAGTTAGGGTGGTGTCTGCCACACAGTCAGCTCACTACAGGTATTTGCTATTATCGTAAGTTATATGAACATTACCAGAAAAAAAGAAGCCAATAACCCTGCCTAGTCAGACCCTTTAACACCCATCAAGAGCTACCCAAAACAGGTGCAGTGGCTCATGCCTGTAATCCCAGCACTTTGGGAGGCTGAGGCGGGTGGATCACCTGAGGTCAGGAGTTCGAGGCCGGCCTGGCCAACATGGTGAAACCTCGTCTCTACTAAAAATACAAAAATTAGCTGGGTATGGTGGCATGCGCCTGTAGTCCCAGCTACTTGGGAGGCTGAGGCAGGGGAATCACTTGAACCCAGGAGGTGGAGGTTGCAGTGAGCCAAAGTTGTACCACTATACTCCAACCTGGGCCCCGTCTCCAAAAAAATAAACAAAAAGAGCTGCACAGTGGCGTATTGCTACTATACATTTACTTAATTCAGGATTCCCCATACCCTACTTTGTTTTAATTGACAAATAATAATTGTATATGGGGTACAATGTGATATTTTGATATATTTATATGTTATGTAACAACTTTTTTTTTTCTTTTTTTTTGAGACAGAGTCTTGCTCTGTCACCCAGGCTGGAGTGCAGTGGTGCAATCTTGGCTCACTGCAACCTCCGCCTCCTGGGTTCAAGCAATTCTCTTGCCTCAGCCTCCCGGGTAGCTGGAATGACAGGCGTGCACCACCACACCTGGCTAATTTTTGTATTTTTAGTAGAGATGGTGTTTCACCATGTTGCCCAGGCTGGTCTCGAACTCCTGAGCTCAAGTGATCTGCCCACCTCAGCCTCCCAAAGTGCTGGGATTACAGGTGTGAGCCACCATGCTCGGCCCATTCTCACAAACTTATTCTGGGAAAGGCCCTGCCTGCAGTTTGCAGAGTGACTGTGAGTGAGTCACTTCCCTGAAGCTGGATAAACTGCTCGCCCCATTAGCAAAAAATCGAGACAAACCACAGACCCAGCAGCAAACCCGGCAGGGGCAGGCATGTCAAAGGGAGCAAACACCTTGGCAGTCAACAGAAGGTAAGTTGAACACAGTTCTGTGCTCTGTGCAGGGCTGTGGTTTTCACTACCACCTCCATGACCACAGCAGTGGGCAGGGGGCCACACACAGTGGCCTGGGGAGCTTCTGGTTTCAATAACCAAAAAAAAAAATGTATTTCTTGGGCAATTTCTTCCAACAAATAACCAGGAATGAAGGTCTCGCTAGAAGAACCACTGACATGGGGCTCAGATTTTAACTCTAGGACTTGGAGTTGTCCCAGAAGAGATGGGGGTAATGAGGTCTCCACCAACAGATGGAAATATCACCCATGGCACTGGATTCTGATGAAAACCCCAGAGAATATCGGCCCTGTTTCCTGGCTGATCATAAACTAGATTTGGAAAAATAAGGAAGGCCAGTTGTAGCGATTTCTAGGCCTTTGCTCTCCGCTCCCTGGGGTCCAAGTCCACACAGAAATGAGTACTGTTTCAAAGGCGTCAGGACTGCTGAGCACGTGGCTCCAGAGGATGAGTGAGTTAACAGGTAAAATGTGGGAAGAGGGGAAACTGCAGGCACCAGACACCCTCAAAGCAGCGAGGGCCAATTATCCATGCACACCAGCAACCTGGCTCACTGCAGGACCCGCAGCTTGGCTGCAAGCGTGAAAAGGCAGGCCATCTTGAGCCGGGCACAGAGGCTCATGCCTGTAATCCCAGCACTTTGGGAGGCTTAAGCAGGTGGATCACTTGAGGTCATAAATTTGAGACCAACCTGACCAACATGGTGAAACCCCATCTCTACTAAAAATACAAAAATTAGCCTGGTGTGGCGGCAGGTGCCTGTAATTCCAGCTACCTGGGTGGCTGAGGCAGGAGAATCACCTGAACCTGGGAGGAGGTTGCAGCGAGCCAAGGTCGCACCACTATACTCCAGCCCGGGCAACGGAGTGAGAGTCTGTCTCAAGAAAAACAGGCCATCTCATCCTCTAGAAACAGCCGTGAATGACTGTGAAATCCAAGTTTTTCTTTAATTTTTTTAAAAATAATGCATTTTTGGTAAAATAATTTAAACAATATAAATTTGTAAGGTAGTAAAAATTCCATCAGCCAGAGATAATCACCTTTAATATTTAAACAATTTTTGAGATATGTATGGATATCTGTACACATACATACCCACATGCACATGCTGCTGTATGACATCAATTTAAAATGATCATACAACACCAGCTGTTCCATAACTGCTTTTTCCCACAAGTACATGGCCCATTTTCAAGGAGATGCACAAGGTCAGTTCATAAGTGATGCAATAGCACACAGAATAAAAAACATCATCTGGAGGCTAAACAGTTTAAATGTGGAGCTCTGCAACTCCCTAGCTGGGTGGCCTTGGGCATCATTTGGCCCCTCTGAGTCTCAGTTGCCACATCTGTAAAGTGGGAGATGATCACTACAGCCTCAGAGGCTTGTTACAAAGATTAGCAGGTGCCCCCTTAAAGTTCCTATGTTCATTACCAATGTCCTCACCTGCTTAGGAAAGGAAGGAATGATCAGGATCCTTAGGGCTTCAACCATTCTGAGTCTGTGTTCTGACCTATCCCACGCTCTTATCCGGCCTCAGAGAAGGTGATGTGCATAAGATGTCCCTGCTAGATCATTAACAAGTATGCCTGCGCTTGGGACAATTTCCCTAAAACATTCTGTTGCCTTAATTTGAAACAAAACATGATCATTTAGGTGTATATGATGCTGCATGAACATATGAGAAACAGATGATTGAACAACCATCAAACAAATGTCTAAATTTCATTAAATCTTTTTTTTTTTTTTTTTTTAGACAGGGTCTCATTTTGTCACCCAGGCTGAAGTGCAGTGACACAAACACGGCTCACTGGAGCCTCAACTTCCCAGACTCAGGCGATCCCTTCACCTCAGTCTCACAAGTGGCTAGAACTAGAGGGTACACATGCTACGCCTGGCTAATTTTTGTATTTTTACCAGAGATGGGTTCTGCCATGTTGCCCAGGCTTGAATTTCACTAAATCCTTTTTAAATGACAAAACAAATACTTGCAGTGGAGAGCTGCTTCACATAAGAAAGATTAGGGAAAATTATGATTCGAATGCATTTAAGAAAAAGTCTATTTCCTCATCCAAGCTCTTACTCAATGCAAACCAGAAACTGAAATCTGATAGTGACAAGATTGGCAAGATTAAGGTTAAAATGTCACCGCCAGTGGGGCCCTCAGTAAAGAGGAAATACTTCCTGTGCAGAGGATTCCATGCTGAAACATCAAGGCCCTAAAAATTGTTGATTCCTTCTACCCGGTAATTCCATTTCTTAGAATTTCCATTTCTTTTACTTTCCTAGTAAAATAATCCTAGATGTAAGGGGGTGGGGGGTGCTACGTATAGATTGTCCTTGGACTATAATTTACAATAAGGGAAAATATTCAAGATTATCAGGTTAAGTAAATTAGAATAATTTACCTGATATAATTTAAAGCTATTTAAATAGCCAGGTGTGGTGGCTCATGCCTGTAACCCCAGCACTTTGGGAGGCTGAGGTCGGCGGATCACCTGAGGTCAAGAGTTTGAGATCAGCCTGGCCAACATGGCGAAACCCCATCTCTACTAAAAATACAAAAATTAGCCGGGCATGGTGGCACGTGCCTGTGGTCCCAGCTACTCCGGAGGCTGAGGCAGGAAAATCGCTTGAACCCGGGAGGCAGAGGTTGCACTGAGCCGAGATCAAGCCACTGCAATTCAACTCCAGCCTGGGTGATGGAGTGAGACTGTCTCCAAAAAAAGAAAAAAAAAAAAAAAAAAAAAGCTTATGCTATGAAAAAAAAAAGCAGACTATAAAATTGCACATACCATATGACTTTTTTGGAAAACAGATATATTATTCTTATAATACATTTTTTTTAAACCTGGAAGGAAATAATGTTGACAGTGACTGCCTTAGGTGAATGTTTCTTCATTCCTCTTTGTATCTAAATTTATTGTAATAAGCATGTATTACTTTCACACAAAAATACAAAATTTTTTGTTTGTTTTGGAGACAGAGTCTTGCATTGTCACCCAGGCTGAAGTGCAGTGGTGCGATCTCGGCTCACTGCAACCTCCATCTCATGCGATTCTCCTGTCTCAGCCTCCCGAGTAGCTGGGATTACAGGCGCCCACCAACGCCCAGCTAATTTTTTGTATTTTTAGTAGAGACAGGGTTTCACTATGTTGGCCAGGCTGATCTCGAACTCCTGATCTCAAGTGATCTGCAGGCCTTGGCCTCCCAAAGTGCTGGGATTACAGGCATGAGCGACCATGCCTGGCCAAAAATATATTTTTCAAAAAAAAAAAAATTCCTAAAATAGCAAACAGGAAAGCAGCAACAAGTTAAACAGGAATAAAGCTACCGCATTCAGTATGTAAAGAATTCCCTCCTGAGAACGTGGCCTCTCAGTGTGCCCTGAGAAGAGGGAGGGTGGCAGGGAAGGCCGAGTGGCCAGACTCCGGAAATTGTGGGGGTTGGCACAGCCCTAAACAGGGGTCTGAAGACAAGCTGGTGCACAGCAGTTTTCCCCTATGAGCACAGTCAGGTCAGCCCATCTTATGAACCTGAAGCTCACACACGAGCAGCAGCAGCATGAACTGATGCTGGAACTGAATTTCTGGGCACCTAACAGAGTCTTGGCTGCCCCACCCCACCAACAGGTGCAGACAACTGCCAGGGCCTGACTGGAGATACTCACCTGGAGGTAGATTGCTGCCTCTTGGTAATTCATCTCCCAGTTGTGTGCGGGGCTGGAGGGGGAACTCTCACCCCCAGAGCTGAGACTGGGGGCCTGGGAGTCGTGGATGGCATAGCTGCCGCCATCTGCATTGGAAGAGGAGAGAGATTCACTTGGCACCCAGGCTTAAGAGCAAAAAGACACCGTTTGGCAGAAGAAAAGCCTGGCAGTCCCTTCATATGCTCACATGGACATCCCGTCATCTTCAAATCAACCTCCATGCTGTGTACTGATAATGGCAAGAATTAGCACAGCTGGTTACAAATGTTTTCCTTTCTCTTGATAAGTGAAAAAAGCAAGTACAAAAGAGTACAAATAGTATGCTCTCTAATGTGTACAAAAGGGAGGAAACAAGAAAACATAAATACATCGACTTATCTTTACCAAAAGAAACACAGGAAGGAAAAATGAGAAGTCAATGAAATCAGTCGCCCTACAAGGGCTATAAGGAATAGGGTAGACAGACCCTTTTTGAATCCTTTGACTTTTGGAAGCATATTAATATCCTACTTAGTTAAAAATTAAAAACAACTGGATTTGTCCCCTGGTGCAGGGCCATCTGTTGCTCTTCCCTGCTGACAGCCACGCCCTCCTCTCCCAGCAACACTGGGCCATCTGTCTCTGTAGAACATCCCCTCCTTGCTCTCTGTCCACATTGTTTGGCTCTGGCCAACTCCACCCCTGGTTCCCAGGCAGGTGACCTGGGCCTGGCAATAAGCCCCTCATCTCCCTTGGGCATTCAGGCATAGCTGCTGACCCAAGTCCAGCCAGTGACAGCTGAACTTGAAACTGTTCCCAGGCCAATTAGGAAGGAGGGGCTCTTTCCCTGTTGTTGCTGGCGGCTGCCTCTGCCACCACATGGGGAAAACTTGCCTGAGAAGGAAGTCAGCAGACAACAAAACAATAACCAATAGATAACACTAACACCAGCTGCACCTCTGGAATCCAGCTGTGCCTGAAATCTACCCCTTAATTTCCAAAATCCAAGCTGATAAACAGATCCCATTGAGTCTGAGTTGGGTTTGTCACAATAATCCTGAAATTCAGTAGTTTACACACAGTAAACAACGGCACCAAGAAATGACGCATTCATTGGGAAGAAGTGAATCTGAGAGAAATCTGTAAATCTGCATTGTAAATGATCCACCCGAAGGAAGATAAAGAATCTAATGTTTTGGGCTGAGCACGGTGGCTCACGCCTGTAATCCCAGCACTTTGGGAGGCCAAGGTGGACGGATCACCTGAGATCAGGAGTTCAAGACCAGCATGGCCAACATGACAAAACCTCAACTCTACTAAAAATACAAAAAGTAGCCAGGCGTGGTGGAAGGTGCCTGTAATCCCAGCTACTCAGGAGGCTGAGGCATGAGAATCACTTGAACCTGGGAGGCGGAGGTTGCAGTGAGCCAAAATCGCATCACTACTCTAGCCTGGGGGACAGAGCAAGACTCCGTCTCAAAAAAAAAAAAAAAAATCTAATGTTTTGATACTGGGATTTGCACAGTTGGCAGAAAGCAAATGTGTAAGGCTTACAACCATGCAAGGGACAGGAGACTGACAGGGCTCAAAGGCCTGCTGGGTTGCAAAAGGTCCTTCTGATCTTGAATTGCCAGTCATGAGCAATGAGGTCCAGCCACATGCAACTTACTTCCCCAGCTCCCTGCTTTTTTTAAGACACAAGATCTCACTCTGTCACCCAGAATGGAGTACAGCGGCACAAGCATGGCTCATTGCAGTCTTAAACTCTTGAGTTCAAGAGATCCTCCTACTTCAGCCTCCTGAGCAGCTAGGACTACAGGCATGCACCATCACGCCTGGCTAATTTTTGTATTTTTATAGAGGTGGAGTCTCCCTTTGTTGCCCAGGCTGGTCTCGAACTCCTGGAATCAAGCAATTCTTCTGCCTTGGCCTCCCAAAGTGTTGAGATTACAGGTGTGGGCCACTGTGCCCAGCCACTCCACCCTTGTTTTTTCTTTCTTCCTTTTTTTGAGATGGAGTCTCACTCTGTCACCCAGGCTGGAATGCAATGGCGTGATCTCAGCTCACTGTAACCTCTGCTTCCGAGGTTCAAGTGATTCTCCCACCTCAGCCTCCCGAGCAGCTGGGATTACAGGTGCCTAACACCATGCCCAGCTAATTTTTGTATTTTTAGTAGAGACAGGGTTTAGCATGTTGGCCAGGTTGGTCTTAAACTCCTGACCTCAAGTGATCCACCCGCCTGGGCCTCCCAAAGTTCTGGGATTATAGATGTGAGCCATCGTGCCTGGCCAACCCTACCCATTTTTAAAAACAGTTTCGCTAAGTTGTGCCACAATAAACAGTATATATTTTAAGAATACAGTTTGATACATTTTGACCTACGTGCATATCTGTAAAATCATCACAACAATCAAGATAACATATCCATAACCCTCCCGTGCCTCCTTGCCCATCCATGCCCAGGCAACCACTGAGCTGCATTCTGTTACTATTAGATGAATCTGCATCTATTATTACATATAATATATATATTTACATGATGTATTATATAAATGGAATAATACAGTATGTAGTCTTTTTTTTTGCTTGGATTCTTTCACTCAGAATAATTATTTAAAAACTCATCCACATTGCACTGTGTACCAACAGTTCATTCTGTTTCTTTGCTGAGTAATAAATATACCACAGTTTATCCATTCACCTGTTGATGAACAGCTAAGATTGTTTCTAGTTTTGGGTTATTTCAAAGTTGCTATGAACATTCATTCAGGGCTTTGTGTGGATGTACACTTTTTGTTTCTTTTGGTAAAGCTAGAGGTGAAATAGCTAGATCACATGTTTAACTTTTTACAAAACTGCCAAACTGTTTTCCAAAATGATTGTACCATTTTACATTCTCACTAGCAGTATATGAGAGTTCCAGTTCCTCCACATCTCCACCAACTGTTGATATGCTCGCTCTTTTTAAGCATTTTTTTTTTTTTTTGAGACGGTCTCACTCTGTCGCCCAGGCTGGAGTGCAGTGGTGCCATCTCAGCTCACTAAAACCTCCACTTCCTGGGTTCAAGTGATCCTCCTGCCTCAGCCTCCTGAGTAGCTGGGATTACAGGCACGCACCACCATGCCTGGCTAATTTTTAAATATTTTTAGTAGAGACGTTTCACCATGTTGGCCAGGCTGGCCTTGAATTCCGAACCTCAGGTGATCTGCCCGCCTCGGCCTCCCAAAGTGTTGGGATCACAGGCATGGGCTGCTGCGCCTGGCCAACTTTAAGCATTTCAAAAGATGGGTAGTGGTATATCATTGTTTTTCATGTTCATGCTTGAAATTTGCATTTTCCTAACAATAATGTTGCACAACTTTCCATATGTTTATTTACCATCTATCTTCTTTGAAGTGTCCAGATCTTTCACCTTTTTCTTTTTTTTTATTATTAAATTGAGAGCTCTTTTATACACTCTGGATACAAGTCTATCAGATACATGATGATTTGCAAATATTTTCCCATTTGTGGTTTGTCTTCTCATTCTTTTCTAACAGTGCCTTTCAAAGGTCACTAAAACAGAAGTTTTACAAATTTTGATGAAGGCCAACTTATCCATTTATTCTTTTTATGGATTAATACTTTTGATATCATATCTAAGAAATCTTTGCCTAACCCCTGGTCATAAAGATTTCACATCAGGCTAAGGTGGGGAGGATCACTTGAGCCCAAGAGTTCAAGATTAACCTGGGCAACGCAGTGAGATCTTGTCTCTACAAAAAAATTAAAATAAAAAAGATTCCACATCAAGGCACAGTGGTGTAAGCCTGTAGTCCCAGTGCCTAGGAGGCTGAGGTGAGAGGATCACCTTAGCCCAGTAGTTCAAGCCAGCCTGGACAACACAGAAAGACACTGTCTTTAAAAAAGAAAAATAAAAACAAAGATTTCACATCAATACCTCGATGTCTTGGTTACTGAGGCTTTATAAGTCTTAAAATCAGGCAGTGTTAATCCTCCAACTTTGTTCATATTTTTTTCAAAGTTGTTTTGGCTAGCCCAGTTCTTCTGAACTTCCATATAAACTTTAGAATTAGTCAATTTCTTTGTCCCTAATCCAGGAGTCCAAATAAATAAATACATACATACATGCATACCCAGCCTGGGGAATATAGTGAGACCCTACCTCTACAAAAAAAAAAAATTTAAAAAGTAAAAAAATTTGAACTTCCATATGAACTTTAGAATTAGTCAATTTCTTTGTCCCTAATCCAAGAGTCCAATCAATCAATCAATCAATAGAAACCTAGCCTGGGGAATATAGTGAGACCCTATCTCTACAAAAAAAAAATTTTTTTTAAGTAAAAAAATTAGGCAAGCACAGTGGCATGTGCCTATAATCCCAGCACTTTGGGAGGCTGAGGTGGATGGATCGCTTCAGGTCAGGAGTTGAAGACCAGTCTGGGTAACATACTATGACCTCATAACAAAAAGTATAAAAAATAGCTGGGCATGGTGGCTTGCACCTGTAGTCCCAGCTACTCAGGAGGCTGAGGTGGGAGGATGGCTTGAGCTTGAGAGGTCAAGGCTAGAGTGAGCTATGATCATAGCTACTGCACTCCAGCCTGGGTGACAGAGCAAGATCCTGTCTCAATAATAATAACAGGCCAGGCACAGTGGCTCATGCCTGTAATCCTAGCACTTAGGGAGGCCAAGGCAGGTGGATCACCTGAGCTTAGGAGTTCGAGACCACCCTGGGCAACATAGTGAAACCCCGCCCGTCTCTACTAAAATACAAAAAATTAGCCGGGCATGGTGGCATGCGCCTGTAGTCCCAGCTACTCAGGAGGCTGAGGCATGAGACTCACTTGAGCCCAGGAGGTGGAGGTTGCGGTGAGCTGAGATTGCGCCACTGCACTCCAGCTTGGCTTACAGACTGAGACTCTGTCTCAAAAAAAAAAAATTAATTAATAATAATAATTAGTCAATTTCTACTTAAAAAAAAAAGTCTGCTGGGATTTGATTGAAATTATGTCAGATCTATTGGGGAGACTCTTAAAAACCCATGAATATGGTATATCTGTCAGTTTATTTTGATCTTTTTAAATTTTCTTAGTAATATTTTACAGCTTTCAGTATACAGACCTGACACATCTTTTCTTAGATTTATCACTAAGTCTTTTATATTTCCGATGCTGTTGCAAATGAAGTTGCCTTTTAATCTCAATTTCCAATTGTTTGTTGTTAGGATACAGAAATACAGCTGATTTTTATATGTTGGCCTTCTAGCCTGCAACCTTGATAAACTCACTTAAAAGGTCTAGTGGCCTCTTTTGTAAATATGTCATGGGCGTTTCTATACAGAAGATCATGTTGTCTGAGAATAAGGACAGTTTTATTTCTTCCTTTCTAATCCAGATGCCTTTCGTTTTTCTTGCCTTATGGCACTGTTTAGAAGCTCCCTTACAATACTGAATAAAAATGATGAGAAGGGATATCTTTGTCTCATTCCTGATCTTAGGGGAAAAGCATTCAGTTTTTCACCACTCAGTATGATGTAAGCTAGAAGTTTCTCGTAGATATCCTTTATCAGTCTGAGGAAATTCCTTTCTGTGCCTAGTTTGTTGTGAGATCTTACCATGAATGGGTGTTGCATTTTGTCAAACACTTTCTGTGTCTACTTCGAGATGATTTCAGCTTGAGAATCCCTAATCCGAAAATCTGAAATCCAAATGCTCCAAAATTCCAAACTTTTTGAGCACCAACATGACACTCAAAGAAAACGTTCACTGGAGCATTCTGGATATTCAGGTTAGAAATACTCAACCAGTAAGTATAACGCAAATACTCCAAAATCTGAAAAAAATTAAAAATCGGAAATACTTCTGGACCCAAGCATTTTGGATAAGGGATATTCAACCTGTATATGGTTTTTCTTTTTCCTTTGGTTAATATAGTGAATTACAATGATTGATTTTTGAACATTAAACCAACCCTGCATTCCTGAGCTAAGTCCCCCTAGTCATGATGTATTATCCTTTTTATATATTATTGCATTTGCAAAATTGTTTAAATTTTTTGCATCTACATCCGTGTAGAATGTTGGTCCGAGGTTTCTTTCCTTGTGAGGTCTTTGCTGGTTTGGGTATCAAGGTAATGCTGGCCTCATAAAATGGGCTAGAAAATATTTCCTCCTTTTCAATTTTCTGGAAGAATTTGTGTCAAATTGGTATTATTTCTTCCCTAATGTATACCGTTCACCAGGAAAGCTATCTGGGCCTGAAGTTTTCTTTCTGGGAAAGTTTTTATTACATATTAACCTTCTTCAGTACATATAGGGCCACTCAGGTTTTCTATTCTTATTGAGAAAGCTTTGGTGGTTTGTTTATCTTTCAAGAAATTTGCCAAGAGGCTAAACAATCTGTCCAAGATCACACAGCTATAAGGGCTGAGCCAGGCTTTGGCCCCTAGCAGCTTGCCACCAGAGCAGATGCACTTAACCACTGCACTATACTACCATCTCTCTAAGGAAGAGGAGTCGGGGATGAGGAATGCAGATGATGATTTTAAACTACTGGTAGCAAACATTTGTTGAGGTTTACTGTATGCCAAAACCTATCCTGCGGCAGATTTTATTTTCCATAAATGGCCACCGCATTATCTTTCACCTTCCATGCTCTTCTGGAACCTTGCTGCTTCTCCACACACAGGTAGAAGCTGTGTTTCTTCCTCTTGAAATCAGGTGAGCCTTTATGACTGCTGTGACTAACAGAGAACAGGGAACCTCATGACTTCTGAGGTTATAAAAATACTTTCACCTTATTCTCTTGGGGCACTTACTTGTGGAACCGAGCAACCATTTTGTAAGGAAGCCCAAGCAGCTGGTGCAGACAGAAGACTCAAGGCTCCAGTTCACAGCCCAGCTGAGCACCCAGCCAAGGGGTAGCACCAACTTCTCTGCCACATCAAGGAGCCATCTCAAAAATAGATCCTCCAGCCCCAGTTAAGCTGTCCAAACAGATGTTACGTACAACAGCAAAAAGACAACTCCACCAAGCCCTGCTCAAACTGCAAACTCAAGCAAAATAAATGTTGCTATCTTAAGGCACTATGTTGGGGCAGTGATTTGATACAAGGGCAACAGATAACTGACACCTATCTAAATACATTGTATCTATTAACCTACTTAGTTCTTACAACAATCCTGCCAAGTAGGTAATATTATTATCAACAGATAACTGATACCTATCTAAATACATTGTATCTATCTGTTAACCCACTTAGTTCTTACAACAGCCCTCCCAAGTAGGTAATATTACTATTCCCACCTCAGACTTGAGGAAACTAAGGTGCAGAGAAGCTAAGTAACCTCCCCGGGTCATGCTCCTAGTGAGAAGAGGGGCTGGGATCCCAAACTAGGCTGCCTAGCTCCCAATCGGTAGACTACTTGCCTCTCAAGAATCAGAAACTCCAAAAGCGTGACAGGGTAGTTAGTGCCAAAAGGACCAAAAATACACTAGCATTTCCATCACTACAGTGGAGTTGCAAGTAGGAGGTGGGACATCTGGGTGCGGTTTGAACTTGGTAATTCTGACCCTTCTCTTCCCAATAGCAACAGAGTAGCATTCCCTACCCTGATCCCAATGCTCATTTCTGAAAGAACTAAGCCCTAGGCAGAGACAGAAGAAGGTCAAACCACCGTCCTCAATCTGCTCATGTGGATCAGGGAAGCCTGAGCCAAAACGTGACTCCTGAGCAGAAAAAGCCACAGGCAAGCAGCTGGATGGAGCTGCGTCCTCGTGAGCCCATGCCCTGTCCTCCACGACCTCCACATGCCCCAGCAGGGGCTGGCACCGGCAACACAGAAGAGTCCTAGGTAACATAAATAACAATGATGGAGCGGAGCAGGCAGCTGCTAGCTGGCACAGATGGCAGCAGCCATTAGTGCCACCCTCCCACTTGACACTAGACACGAGTGTCTATGTGAGCGGCTGCCGTGAAGACCCCCTTTGGAGCCTTCCTGCCCTTCTTCTCACACAGGGGTCTCCTCGAATTGACAGGAGCTTCCTCCTTGTGCTCAGGAGGCTCTCTCAGCCCGTTCCTGGTGGGGAGACAACGTCTGGTCCTCCTCAAAAGCTCCCCTATCCCTTACCACTTATACCGCAGCATCCCTGGGACCAGGTGGCCCGACGCGTCCCACGGTGCAGGCCATTCCTTGCTAACAAGCCTCAATGACACTCCCAGCAACAGGTTTCTCCTGGGAGCAGGTAACCTTTGCTAATCTTTAGGTGTCCTGGTTTGGGTGAGAGATAGTCCCTCTTCCCCGATACATAACCCTTCAAAGCCACAAAGGACAGTTCCATTCAACTGAAATCCACAAGGACCACTGAGACAGGAAGGACCAAGCTTCTGGCTGCCCTGGGAGGACAGTCCTCAGAGCCAGAAATCTTAACCCGATCTTCTTTTTCACTCCTCATGGCCTGTAACTCACCAGGTCTGGAAAGGTCTCGTCCCTCTCATCTCTACTGAAGAGGTCTTTGGGGCCTCTTGTCTTTCACCTAAAAGCCTGCAGCAACCTGGACTCACTCTCACTGTCCAGGCCTTTCCTGACCACCTGACCCAGACGCCTTGAGGCAGGATGAATCAATCGGGTAAGGCCGAAGTCTCACGGTGTCACTCCACTACTTAAAATCCTTCCATGGCTTGCCTGCAGAAAAAGACTGACTCCTTGGAACAATGGGAGAGGATCTTTAGAGCTGGCTGCTGCTACATCCCTCTCCCTTTTCCCTATTCCTGTACCAAACTCCTAACAGGCAGGAGGGCTGTGGCCTGGGCCTCACGGGCTGGCCGCCGAAGGCAACAGGTGACCATGGAGCACCAAGGATGCAGGGAGCTGGCTGGAGCCCCCCCACGGGACAGCGAGCAACACAGAGACAAAACATGCGCCCCGTGGCCACAGACCACACATGGCTGGTGGGTGAGGGCAGACACGTAGCAGTGTTGCCAATGGTGGAACGAGGACTCGGGAATGGACTTCACAGGGTGTTTCTGCTAGATCTGAAAGGGCTTTGTAATAACTAGAAATGAGGGACCGGCACAGAGGGCTTTAGTTTTAGAGACAGGGTCTCACTATGTTGCCCAAGCTAGACTCAAATTCCTGGACTCAGGCGATCCTCTCCCCTTGGCCTCCATTTGGAAATAATTCTTTTTATTGAGCCCAGGCTGTAGTGCAGTGGCACTATCATGGCTCACTGCAGCCTCAACCTCTTAGGCTCAAGCCATCCTCCCACCTAAGCCTCCAGAGTAGCTGGGACTATAGGCATGTGCCACCATGCCCAGCTAATTTTTTTTTTTTGTAGAGATGGGGTCTTGCCATGTTGATCAGGGTGGTCTCAAACTCCTAGGCTCAAGCAATCCACCTGCCTCGCCCTCCCAGAGTTCTAGGATTACAGGTGTGAGCCACTGCACCTGGCCGGAAAGAATTCTTCTATTTTTATTTTTTAATTTTTATGTATTTTTTCTTTTTTTTTTGAGACAGAGTTGCTCTGTCGCCCAGGCTGGAGTACAGCAGTGCAATCTCATCTCACTACAACCTCTACTTCTCAGGTTCAAGCAATTCTTGTGCTTCAGCCTCCTGAGTAGCTGGGCATGCACCAACACACAGGCGTGCACCAACACACCCGGCTAATTTTTGTATTTTTTGGAAGAGACGGGGTTTTACCATGTTGGCCAGGCTGGTCTCAAACTCCTGACCTCAAGTGATCCAACTGCCTTGGCCTCCCAAAGTGCTGGGATTACAGGCGTGAGCCACTGCGCCTGGCCGGGAAATAATTCTTAATGAAAATATTCTAAGACCAACAACTGGCCTGTTCATCTACTCCTTTGTTTAGCAGACATTCCCAGGGTTGTCCCTGCCCAAGGTCAGCTCCTAGGTGCTGGGCCCTTAGTGGGGACTGTAGGAACTAGGCAGCCCTTGCCCTCCAGGGGCACCTGTCCACAGAGGCAGTGAGTACCCCATCACCACGTGGCCTCAAAAAGAGGCTCCACAGCTATTGGTTATGGACATTTCAATAGAGAAGAGGTTCACCAGCCAGTGAGCAGCTGAACTAGCTGCCCCTGCAACTTGTGGCATCTACATGTTTACAGGTATATGGTGACTTCAAGGGGAGCAGGCAGGTGGGTGCAGATGGCTTCAGAAGCAGCTCCAAACTGCAGAGCTGCCCCAGAGAGCTGGCAGTGCCACAATCTGAGCAGGGCCCAGCTGCCTAGATCCTGCTGGCGCCAAAAGCCTTCCACAAACACTTCCTTGCTGCTTAGGGAGGGCAATGGCATCTTTTTTTAGCACACGCGTCCCTCTCCCACCTCCCGATTAACTGCAGCCCCCAAATCTAGCCCCAATCTCAGCAGCTCAGCTTCCGCTAAAATAACACACACAAACACTTGCGGAACAAATTCTGTGAGGCAGGCACTAGTCTCAGCACTTTATAGGTGAAATAACTTCATCCTCGCATCAACCTTAGGAGGTGGATACCATCAGCATCCCCATTTCAGAAGAAGGGTGATGGGACAGAAGCACAGAGATTGGTCAGCTTGTCCGGGGGCTCCCACATTTAGAAAGTGACGGAGCTGGAGAATAAATGAGGTCTGTGCTTGGAACCACTCTAACTGTGGGCGGTGTCATTCCACATGGTCTGCACAGTCCATTAATGGTGTGCCATGGTCGGGGATGAGAACCATCCAGGAACCAGAGCCAGCGTGTAGAGGCCATCACCGCAGGTGGCACTGTGCGGCACTTCCTTCTCCTAGTACTTCGTTTTTGTTGTGTTTTATGGAAGTAGAGGTCCTCTGCTGCAGAGTATGGGAAGCGCTGCTGCGTAGCTCTCCTGCGTGAATTGTAGGCACTTTCTGCTGTTGTCTTAGAAGCAACGACTGTCAGGTCAGGAGCAGATCCTAGAGACCACCTAATTCATTGCCCAGCTTTTAGAGATGGGGAAACTGAGGGCAGGGAACGTGATGTCCCCATGGTATAGGGCCAATTGGTTACAGCGCCAGGTCTAGCATCCAGGCTTCCTGGCTCCCCATCCAGAGCTTTCCTTCATACAATCATCTGCCACTCACCTCTCACTAGAGAAATGTAGGGGGTGGCTCCGCTGACCCACTGTCTGCCGTGCGGTACGCCGGCCACTGTCTCTTCTGATGGACAGCATACAGCTGTGAAACAGGCTTAGCATCTATGACCCAAATCAAAGAGAACACGTGGCCGGTTCTCGCACAGACGGTCCCTCCATTGGCCAGGGCTCTTGGGATGCACTCTTATGGGCCACAAGTGACTGGGGGCAGGAGAAGGCCCTGGGGTGACTGAGACCACATTTTCCTGGCCATACCGGTGCTGAATGGAACAGCTGCACCAACAGAGAATCTTGGGGCAGGAGGGGCCTCAGGAATCAGGAGGCTCCTCCTCTCCCACAATCAGCTGAAAGGCCCACAAATAGGTGCTGCACCTGGCCCACAAGACCTCGCTCTCACCAGCTCCCCTGCCACACTGTGGCCCAAAACAGCTCTCCCCTAGACTAGCACAATCCCTTCTCTGTCTTCCTACTGTCTGTTCTTCCCTCTGTGGCCTATTCTTGACACCAGTCAGAGAAATCCTCTATCGTGTGTGTGCGTGTGTGTGTTTTTAGGTAACTTTTTTGTTTAATATAACAAAAATCCTAAAGAACACTAAGCCAAATGGTATCACTCCTCTGCCCCAAACGTGCCCCAGCCTCCCTTGATCAGAGGGTCTCGTGGAACCTGACCCGCAACCTCTCCAAGTCACCTCGTCCTGCCTGCCCCTCGCTGCCGCCATGCTAACCTCCTTGTTGTTCTGAAACGTGCCTGGAACACTCCGCCTTGGGGCCTCTGCCTCCCCGATCTTTGGCTGCTTTGTCACACCTTCCAGTTTCCACAAACATTTTATCAGAGGCTACCCTTGGCCTCCCCTACAAGGTGAGACCACATCACTCCGTCCCCTCAAAGCGCTGAGGCTTCCTCCTGGGGCTGTCACCACCTGACAGGGTATCTGTTTAATCGTGGGCCTGTTTCCCCGCCTGGAATGTCAGCTCCAAGAGGGCAGGGACTTTTGTTTTGGTCACTGTGGTGTTCCCAGGCCCCAGAACAGCGTTGTACACAATGTGTAAGTGGTCAGCAAACATGTCTGAACTGAAGTGAAATAGAAGGTCTTGCTAGCCCTGAAGATTCCACACACCCCCGTGGGGCACTTAAGGATGGCCAGGGCCTGGAGGGCGGAGAACAAGGAGCCATCCGTGGGGCCTGGCAGGCCTCGGGCAAGAGGGCGGGCTCCACCCGGGGTGCAGTGGGCAGCGCCAAAGGGTGTTAGGAAGGGGTGTGATGTGGTAAGTTTGTATTTGTAAAAACCTTTCTTTTAAGGATCTGCGGAAGAGGGGCTGTTTTGTGTTAAGAGTAATTCAGGGTAGAACCTTGAAAGGGAAAGGGGAGAATAAGACTCAAGAGCTAAGGTGAAAGAACAGCGAATTCTCCCCCTCCCAGGACGGACTTTGTTCTGTGCTTCTAACCACTCAACCTCAGAAAACAGGACTTGGAGTGCTCATGTGGTCCCAAAAGGCAAAGCATGATCGCTCATTTCTCCACACGGAGAGAGGGATGGAAGGCCTGGGGTGACACTGGCCACTCAGGGACTTTTCAAGAAAGCCACAGGTGATCGCAAAGGGCCTCCTTCACATCAAGGCACGAGCAACTGGGCTACATATTTAGGGATTATAGAAAGGGTGCAAATGGAAGGCGAGGAGCCACAGTTCCATTCTGTTCCTTTTGTACGTGGCCTTCACGCAGCAGTGCAGCTGTACCAGCCAAGACGAGGGCACGGCAGGGGCCGGGTGGGGCTGGGCCACCTCGTGGAGTGCTAATCCCCTGCCCTGTCTGCTGTCTAACCCTCTTCCCCACTTAAGAGGTTGCAGAAGTGGCTGAAGGGACAATGGATATGCTCCCACTCCGAGTGCTGCGTTGTTCCCGCAGAAGGTATGCTCGAAGGCTCGGCAGCTTTCTGAGGAGGACATTTCAGGCCCAGAAAGCGGGAAGGCAGGGGGCAGAAGGGGCAGATCAAAGGGGACAGGCTGATAGCCAAGTCCTGGTAAGTCAGGATGTGAGCCTGGTGAGTCAGGGTGTGAGTGCAGATGGAGTGGTTTCTGGGAGAATGAGCCCCTGCTTGCTGGGGAACCAATCCCGGCAGGCCCAGCTTCCTCAAAATGAATACCCTCCACGTGGGAACTAAGAGCATGTGCAGGGGCCCCCAGCTGGCCTGAGTCATCAGCACTGTGTGTGAAGCTAGAGGACACTCTGCCCCACTGAAGCCCATCGTGCCCACTGGGTTCACTCCAGGACCTCTACCTGGGCAGCCTCGAATGCCAACAGTTGTTTACACCCACCTGCTCTAGTGGCCTGGTGCCTTGTTCTGACCTCCTACTGCCCACAGACCCTGGGCAGAACCTCCAGGTCAATGACTGGCACTCGCATCTTTGGAGTACCAGGCACAGAAAGCACAGGAAGCATCCTAGCCAACAAAGTGACCGGGCAGGCTCACCCCGCATCACCCCAGTCCAGCCCCTTCCTCTGTGTGCCGGGGCTGGCCCTCTCCAACTGGTGCTCATTACGGACCACGGAAGAAGCAACACCTTTGGCCTCTGACCTTGGCACTGTTCTTGCCCAGAGCAGAACGGGTTCTTCCAGGCCAGCTGGAAAGGCAGGAACTGGGGCACGTCGCAGGGGCCCAGCTTGAGAAGACAGGACGACCTCACCACGGGGCTGTCAGGAAGCTGGCCCTCCACTGCCTCCTCCAGAAGGCCGGCAGCTAGCCCTTGCCTCTGCATGTTTACCTTTCCTGGGAGGCAACCGGGCCGGACATAGGAGGGAGGGAGATGAGCAGCAGCGTGGGCAGGCGGGCAGGATTTGCAGTCTCCCTGGCTCCCACAGCCAGCAAGCTCCACATGCAGGTTTCAGAAAGGACCAGAGGAGGCTGACCAGGAACACTCTTGGCAACCAGGAAGACTGTATTCTGCATCTCTGTTCTGGGCCTCTGGGGAAAGTTCCACGAAGGGAAACATTTTGTCCTGCCCTTCTGGTGCCCTGGGCAGACAGCTCTCTTGGGAAAACCAGACCAAGAGGACAGGCGCAGCCTTGCAGGCCTGCAGACTTTGGCCACTAAAGATTTATGTGGCACCAGCCCCTTAACCTCCCTCCCTGAATCCTGGCAATCAGCCCGGAGGAGAGAACGTAAAACCACTCAGAGGACGGGAAGGAGTGGAAAGAAACAGCTGAACTGACAGGCATGAGAATACAAAACAACAACGCAAACTCTGACTCGAAGCAGGAGAGACATCCCGGTGCAGAGGACAGGCAGACAAACCAGAATGACCTGTTTGCACACACGGTAACACTCCCACATGCTGATGTCACAGGGCCCAGACGCTCCCTCGAAACAGCTGGCTGCTTTGCACGCCACATCGGAAATGACCCTGCAGGGAATCCAAGGTTTCTGTTTGCTGGAGCACAGCATGCAGCAGCGTCCTGGTGGTGCCAGATAAATAGAAACAGTTTCCATATGCCAGCTATAAAGATGCACTGGGGAGGAGCAGGAAAGAACAGGCAGGAGGGGAAGGCTTCCACGACCCACCCCTCACCCAGCAGGCGCAGGGGGCAGCCCGGCTGCGTAAACCACTGGGGCCTTTCTTTGGTGCCTGGGCCAGAGATCGCTTTGGATAAAAGGGCCCCTCCTGGGAGGGAGCTCTGATCAGAAAAAGCAGAGAATGACTGTTCTCAGGAAGGGTGATACTGAGGGGCCTACCCCTTTTCTTTTCTTTTTTTTTTTTTTTTTTTTTGAGACGGAGTCTTGCTCTGTCGCCCAGGCTGGAGTGCAGTGGCGCGATCTCGGCTCACTGCAAGCTCCGCCTCCCGGGCTCACGCCATTCTCCTGCCTCAGCCTCCCGAGTAGCTGGGACTACAGGCGCCCGCTACCACGCCCGGCTAATTTTTTGTATTTTTTTTTAGTAGAGACGGGGTTTCACCGTGTTAGCCAGGATGGTCTCGATCTCCTGACC
Organism: Homo sapiens; assembly: GCF_000001405.40. NCBI lineage: Eukaryota > Metazoa > Chordata > Mammalia > Primates > Hominidae > Homo > Homo sapiens. Next base: position 113,245,381 of record NC_000012.12, on the reverse strand, counting down.
TCGTGATCCGCCCGCCTCGGCCTCCCAAAGTGCTGGGATTACAGGCGTGAGCCACCGCGCCCAGCCCCCTTTTCTAACCTCTCTCCTTTTTATTTTCTTTCTTTCTTTTTTTGGAGACAGGGTCTCACTCTGTTGCCCAGGCTGGAGTGCAGTGGTGCGATCATGGCTCACTGCAGCCTTTATCTCCTGGGTTCAAGCAATCCTCCCACCTCAGCCTCCCAAGTAGCTGGGACTACAGGCATGGATTGCCATGCCCTGCTAATTTTTTGTATTTTTTTGTAGAGACAGGGTTTCATCACCATGTTCCCCAGTCTGGTCTTGAACTCCTGGGCTCAAGTCATCCACCCAGCTCAGCCTCTCAAAGTGTTGGGATTACAGGCATGAGCCACTGTGCCCAGCCTCATTCTCATTTTCTTAAACACACACAACCTCACACATTCTCAAATGCACACATACACCCTCGCACATCCTCTGTGAGACGAAACAGAACCCTGGACACCCAAGTTCACTCCAGCTGTGCCTCCTCCACTCCCCACAGTTCACGATCTTAATCCCCAGAGCCTCAGTTTCTTCATCCAGAAACTGGGACCAGTGCCAACCGTGCTCCCAGCATCTCAGAAACAAATGCGAATACTCACAAAGCACTCGGAGCCCTCCGGAAACCAGCGCCTACCAGAATGACAACGAGCAACCGCCCCGCCGCTTGCCAGTTGTCACTGAGAGCCCCACACCATGGGAAAGAGCTCAAAGAGGAGAGGAAAATAAACCAGAGTGACACTGATGAGTTTTCCAGGCACAGCGTTGCCACCATGCTTCTGTGCCGGCTGGCTCTTCAAAGGCCCCCAGATAAAAATCTAGCATGAGATGCTACGCCGAAAGAAAGCAAAATGCACATCCCCCTGCTCAGGCCTTCTCTTTCTGATAATTGGTTGCAAGATGGTATGGAAGGTGGACCCGCATTATTGACACACGTTAGTAAAGGCTCCAAACCCAAGCAGAGCCCTGGGCAAATGTACCAACCTTCAGAAAGGCAAGAACTGGCACAGAGCCCTCCCAGTTGAATTGCTGGCCTCCAGCCCAAAATCTGTCCTGCCAAAGGCTTAAGCCAAAGGAGGAAAGGGAAAAAGAAAGGCTCAACGGGGCAGTACCACGGGTCAAGCCCTGTTCTAGAGGGAGGGACTCTGGTGTGAAAGTGGTCAGGATAATGCCCTGTGTCTCCTCTAACTCTGTTTCCGGCCACCTGAAAGGGACCTAAGTGGCCAAGTCCAGAGAGGTTCACTGTCATCCATGAGGCCAGGCCCAGGGAGCCTGGAACTGGCAGGGGATGGGGCAAGGAAGCGGAGAGCAGTTCTATAAATGGAGTGTGAAAGACATGGAAAGGCAGGAGGGGTGCAGATCAGAAACAGGCTTTTGGGAGTTAGGGGACAGAGGAGAATGTAGGCAGGGAGAGGGGCTGGGAAATGAGCACATCAAAATCATCGGGGGCAGTGACTGCAGCCTGAGATGCCCACTTCCTAACCGTCCACATGAGGAACACACAACAGACATCCTAAGGTTGCAAACATTGCCTTGAGAACACCTTTCTAAACTTTTTTTATTTTATTTTTATTTTTATTTATTTATTTTTGAGATGGAGTCTCACTCTTGTTGCTCAGGCTGGAGTGCAGTGGCACAATCTTGGCTCACTGCAACCTCCACCTCTCAAGTTCAAGTGATTCTCCTGCCTCAGCCTCCTCAGTAGCTGGGATTATAGGTGCCTGCCACCACACCCAGCTAATTTTTTGTATTTTTAGTAGAGACAGGGTTCACAAAGTTGGCCAGGCTGGTCTCAAAATCCTGACCTCAGGTGATCCACCCACCTCGGCCTCCCAAAGTGCTGGGATTATAGGGATGAGCCATGCTTTCCCATGGAGTGGGATTACAGGCATGAGTCTGTGCCTGGCCTCTAGTCTTAATAAATCACATGATAATTTTGGGGAGAAAAAGGGAGGATGTAGTATTTTTTTTTTTTTGAGACAGGGTCCCACTCTGTCATCCAGGCTAAAGTGCAATGGCACGATCTTGGCTCACTGCAACCTCCATCTCCCGGGTTCAAGTGATTCTTGTGCCTCAGTCTCCCAAATAGCTGGGAATACAGGCGCCCGCCATCAGGCCTGGCTAATTTTTGTATTTTTAGTAGAGATGGGGTTTCACCATGTTGGCTAGGCTGGTCTTGAACTTCTGACATCAAGTGATCCACCCACCTCAGCCTCCCAAAATGCTGGGATTACAGGTGTGAGGCACCGCACCCGGCCAGATGTAGTTTTAAAAGACTGACCACCTACATGCAAACACATATGGTTTAATTTGAGGAGACATTTATTCAGCACTTACTGTATACCAGGCATTGTGCTAGGTGTTGGATTAGAAAAGGTGAAACCATGGCCCTCGCCCTCATGGAACTCTCCATCAGTAGGTAATGAAGGATCGTGACTCTGGTGCACTGAGATCTAAAATGGGCTGGGATGACAAGGGCCCTCCGTGGGGGCTGGTGGCCAGTGGCAGGGAGGAACTCAGGGGAATGCCAGGGCTGGCATTTCAAGCATGAGGGATGAGGAGGTATTCACAGGGTGGATGGGGATGGGGTGAGTGGCACATTCTAGAAACAAGGATAGTCATTCAGAGAGCACAGAGACTTCAACAGCAGGGCACGTCTGAGAAACTGCAGAGGGTTCTGTAATTCTGAAGCTTAAAGTGCCAGAGACCAGTGACCAGGATGACGCAGTGGGCAAAGGTAACAGCCACGATTCGCATTCAGTACTTACCACACACCAGACACGGTTGAAAGGGCTTTACGTTAATTAATTCTTCTAAGTGTACAAAGGCCCTACAAACAAGACTTGATTATTATCCCCAGTTTACAGAGGGTGAAACTAAGGCCCAGAGAAGCTGAGTGACTTGCCCAAGGTCACAGAGGGAGGAAACGACGGGCAGCCAAGCCCTCACCTTTCCCTCCACTGTTTCCGCAAGGCTGGGGGTGTAGGCCAGGCGGAAAGCCATGCTGAGGGCCTGGACTTGAGCCACTGGGGACTAATGGTGTGGAGCAACCTGATCAGGTGTGCTACTTGGAAAAACACAGCCAAGGAGGTCAGTCCTGGCTAACTCCCTAACCCATCTGCAAACATTCTGCATGGGCAAAACCGCAAGTTCCTTTTCCCAGCACAGCCGTGGCCAGCTCACATTCGTGAGGCAGATTAAATTGCCAGGGGCCGCCACGGTCATTTTTATTGTCTAATCCTCCTTCCTGAGATGGAGAACTGTGTCTTGTCCCTACAGCATGCCCCCCGGTTTGCCAGATGTCCACGGGTAATTTCTTGGTGAGGCAGGACATGACTTCTTCTTTAGTCCATGAATTTCAAGACCCAACTTGGAATTGTACTTCCTGCTCCCATGCCACTGGGTTTATTATGAAACAAAGGGCTTTCCCTGCCACTGCTCACTCACTCACAAAGTATTTATTGAGTACCCGTCATGTGTAAAGTGTTTTAGACGCTTTAAAAAACATTTGTAAAGGCCCTATGCTTCCTGCTGTCTCATACACACACACGCACACACACACACACACACACACACACACACACGCAGAGGCACGCAAACGCCACTGTTTACCCAGTGAAGAGTACAGCACCTGTGCGAACATCTGTTCCATATTCACTTGGAAGCATCTGAAATGCTAATTGTGAAACACCCAGGGACAAGGAAGGGAGCCGGAGAAGAGCAAATGGAGATTAAAGGCATTTTTCACTGTGCACTGGTGCGCTCTGGTTCCCCTGCAAGAGGTCAGCAGAAAGCCAGTGCTCGGAAGAACAAGTTTGGCTTGAGACTCAAGCTGCATGAAGGCTACTGATGTGTCAGCTGATGGCATCCACTCAGCACAGATCAAAAGTCCGCTCTAGTCCTTAACCAGAAACACCTGGGGGCTGGCTGGACCCGGCTTCCATGAACACTGGCCACGCCCCAGCACCTGGATCTGCTGCTGCTGCTGCTGCAGGTGGCTTTGTTCAGAAGAAGAGTAACAAGAGGTGAGGCGGCCATGAAGCAAGCATGGGCACATTGGGGAAGTGACAGCTGGAGGACAGCTACATCCCACAGAGAGCTTGATGGCCTAGGCCTGCCACTTCTCCAGGGCCCTGAATTCCTATGCAGTCAATGGCCAGGCACTGCTTTCGGCCTTCCCTTCCTTTTGCTTCAGTTTCCCTTTCTGTTGGTGGGGAAGGCAGCCCAAAAGGAGCATTGTGAATAAAGGAAAATACAATGGAAATCAAGAAGCCACCCTAAAGAATGAGCAGGAGTGGCCAGGAGCGGTGGCTCATGCCTGTTATCCCAGCACTTAGGGAGGCTCACCAAGGTGAGCAGTTCACCTGAGGTCAGAAGTTCAAGACCAGCCTGGCCAACATGGTGAAACCCCATCTCTACAAAAATACAAAAATTAGCCAGGCATGATGGCAGATGCCTGTAATCCCAGCTACTCGGGAAGCTGAGGCAGGAGAATCACTTGAACCTGGGAAGCCGAGGTTGCAGTGAGCCGAAATTGTGCCTCTGCACTCCAGCCTGGGCAAGAGTGAGACTCTGTCTCCAAAAAAAAAAAAAAAAAAGAATGGGCAGGAGATGGAGCTGCTTGATTTTTAATTCTCCCTGCAACACAACAGGAATGGTAGTCAAGGAAGTTAACTACTGTCCCTCAACTGCTACAACACTTCAGAAAATGCAAACTACCAACTCACATCCCTTAAGAGGAACCGGAAGAATGTGAGAACGGAGGAAAGGTTCACATCCTCAATGCAGAAAGTCCTTCAATTACCTACTCATGGGTTGAGACTCTGACTGTAGACAATCATATACTGATTTTACAATGAAGAAACTGCAACTTAGGAAAAAACAAGCTCAGCTCCTCATTCAAGGATGTTCAGCTATCAAGAGACGATGCCAGAAATTCAACCCCATCCTTTGCAGACTGCGCGACACTCAGAAAATGTTCAACCGTTGTAGACACCAGCAGGTACCATCACTCCTCAATAGACACACATTCATCACAGCCTAAGAATCTCCCAAGCCACCTCCATTTATAGACTTCTGTGTCCCCATACACTCTGGACGGCGTCTGGTCTCCAAGAGGAAATAGCAAAAAACAACATGCAACAAAATCAAATGGGCCAACTAGGCTGGAGGCTGAGTGGACTTTAGCACTCATAAAATCTGCGCCCTGTTGAAGCTACCAGACTGGCTCGAGGCTGTGCAGTAAAAACTGCAATTCCAAACAACCAGGCAGGCCAGCCAAGTGTGAACAGCCGAGCCCGCAAGAAGAGAGGCCCCTCGAGAGTCACAGAGAGAAGACATCATGCTTGTCGACGACCACCCACAAGTGAAAGGCAGCGCAGCCGGCAGCTTGGAGCAGCTCCAAGCCATTAGCCAGCACTAAGCACAGGTCGCTCTGCCCAAGCTGGTTTTCAGCAAGTGCTGAAAGAATTAGGAAAAAAAAATAATAAAATCCCAATCTAACAAAAAGAGAGATAAAAAAGAGAGACAGGCAGTCTACAAATGGTAGGGCGGCGACGGGGAAGCTTAGATGGAAGGAAGGTTGGGATTGGACATGTGTGGGCTCCTGGGGAGTTCGAAGCTGGAAGCAGAGACCCAAACATCCAAAAAGTAGGCTGTTCCTAGGGGCAGCAACGCCATGCCCTGCTGGGCTACTTCTGGTCTGATCACATGTGAATGAGTCTCCTTGTCACCCTCCAGTGGCTCCAGGGGCTGGTTTAGCTGTGACAGTCACCTGGGACCCTGGATGTTTTTGGAAACCGGTGACTCACTCCCAGATATGCAACTTCTATTATGTCTATTATTGTGCCCAGAATATGTGTAGAAGAGACATGATCCCTGCCTTTGCAAAACTTGTACTACCAGAAAGAGGCACAGCTGTGTAAAACATCAGCACCTAAAACAACAGCCATTAACACCCAGGCATTACACTGGGTTAGGCCTCTACCTTCCTGCCCTGCCCTGCCCAGTCATCTCAAACAGGCATCAGGGAGACACAAGAAAGAAACTCACAAACCAGGTAAGCCCTAGCTGGGGGGAGCAGGATTCACAAAACCCTGCTTGATGCTGGATGAACAGAATGGGTATTATTCATACTACGAAAGGATTCTTTGCCAAACTTAGCCCTCCCACCTATATTTTATTTTGAAATATATATGTATATATGTATTTCTAGAGACAGGGTCTTACTCTATGCCCAGGCTCGAGTGCAGTAGTGTGATCATGGCTCACTGCAGTCTCAGACTCCTGGGCTCAAGCAATCCTCATGCCTCAGCCTCTCAAGGAGCTGAGACTACAGGTGTGCACCACCACACCTGGCTAACTTTTTTTAACTTCTTTTTAGAAATGGGGTCTCACTATGTTGTCCAAGCTGGTCTCAAATTCCTGGCCTCAAGTGATCCTCTCGCCTTGGTCTCCCAAAGTGCTAAGATTACAGGGTGAACCACTGCGCCTGGCTCCCACCCGTATTTTAAATTACCTAATTCATCAAAACTCCATTTTCTCACAATCCATCATGGCACAAAGCAAACTCTGATTCAATCATCAAATCGATCACATCCCGGTGCTGGGGAGCGAGTGGGTCTCTGTGCCGTGAAGAGCAGAGAAAGAGGTATAAACAGCATACCTGGAGAATGAGAGACTGTGGAAACACAACCACTATCCTCAAAGGTTAGGGAAGGCTCTCAAGGCCTTCAGCTAAATAAACAGGAAGGGCCAGGAGTGGTGGCTCATGCCTGTAATCTCAGCACTTTGGGAGGCCGAGGCAGGTGGATAGCAAGAGATAGCAAGAATGGCTCTGGGGAAGACTTGGTCATTTAAGGTAGCAAAAAGGACACTCTAATATACAGCTACTGGATTGTTGCCAGGCCAAGGAGCAGGGGTCACACCCACGTGGCACTCACAGGACATATCTGCAAGTCTTCCAAATGCTGCTGAAGCAGGAAGCCACCAAAACTAGGACCCCTAAATCATGTTTTTTAAGGAAAAAAAATAAGCGGCACTGCTGCTGCAGTAACATGATGCTCTCTGCTTGCTTCTACAGCTAAAATATGTGGGCAAAGAGATCAGAATATTTTTAATAATTTGTCATCCAAATACCCAAGCTGTATTCCAAGATGCCAATTCCTCAATACCGGAAGTGTGGCTATGAGGATAGGTTTCTCCACTAAGTGGGAAAGGCAGAACATCAGGGCTTTATCGTGAAGGAGGATGATAAAATGAGAGGTAGGCTGCCATCTGAACAGACTAAGAACTTCCTGATCAACCCAAGATGGGTTGTTCAGGGGACTGTGTCAGTGCACTGGAACAAAGCAGGAACTTATCTGCCGGAAACAGAAGCCACACTTTTTATTCAGGAGAGTGGCCCTGGAACTTCAACGTACTTTCTGATCCTAAGAGCTGGGTGTGGTGGGATTAGGGAGGGCAAAGTGGGAGATATGTGGCAGGGCTGGGCACAGTCAAACATCTTCCTCCCATCAGCTCTGCTTTTCTTTCACTAGCTGCTTCCTCCATGCCCAATACCGCTGGGATGTTTCTCATCAAAGAGCACCCTCCTGGGCCAGACCCCAGGCCAGGTGAGCCTATGAAAGTCCTCATCTGTTCAGCATTGTCCAGATGCTTCCTGAGTGCCTCTTAAGAAGTAGGGACTGGCCAGGCATGGTGGCTCACGCCTGTAATCCCAGCACCTTGGGAGGCCGAGGTGGGCAGATCACTTGAGGTCAGGAGTTTGAGACCAGCCTGGCCAATGTGGTGAAACCCCGTCTCTACTAAAAATACAAAAAAATTAACAGGGTGCGGTGGTGCACACCTGTAATCCCAGCTACTGGGGAGGCTGGGGCACTAGAATTGCTTGAACCCGGAAGGCGGAGGTTGCAGTGAGCCGAGACTGTGCCACTGCACTGCAGCCTGGGCAACAGAGCAAGACTCTAACTCAAGAAAAAAAAAAAAGAAGTAGGAACTGAGCTACTGAGCTGAGCTTCTGGGACCTGGGGAAGTTCAGTGACTGGTCAGGGAGACAGACACAGAGAGAAAAATGCCAAATCCGGCTCCTACTACTGCAGAATAGCCTGGCAGTTTCCTCTCCATCCACCTCTCAATCTCCAGAGGGAAAAGTAACCCCTATTCAGGGCTGACCCACCCCAGGGTTTCTAAGCTCAGGGCTTATCAAGTTGGCTAGAGACAGCATCCCGAGCTGGCAAGATGTCAGCAGGAAGATGCTCTGTCATCACTTGCTTTCTGGCCCAAACACATTTAGCAGCTCCCATGCCCAACTCAACCAGGTCCAAACTCCTGCCATCAGCATTTTAGGCACTCTGTAAAACAGATATGCCTGCTCTGACCCCTGACCCTAATTATAATGGCTGACATCCACCCAATGCTCATTCTGTATAAGCCAGGCACTGTGCTAGTTGTGTGAGGCATGCTATCTTGTATAAACCTCAGAACAGTCCTAAAAGGTAATACTAATATTAGTGTCATTTTACGGATGAGGAAATCAAAGCTTAGAGAGGTTACATCATCTGCCCAAAGTCCCAGCAGGAGAAGTCAGGGCTGGATTCAAACTCAGTGGGTCTGACCCCAGAGTGCATGTAACCACACCCAAATCCAATCTGCCCCCAGCATGCTAGTCTCTGGCCCCGTCCAGGGTGTGGGTCTCAGAAGAGTTCCTACTTCTTTTTTTTTTTTTCTTTTTGAGACAGGGTCTTGCTCTGTCACCCAGGCAGGCTGGAGTGCAGTGACAATCTCGACTCACTGCAACCCCCCTCCTTACTTCAGCCTATGCCATTTCCCCTCCCTGGGATGTTCGGTCCCTCTCCCCAGCACCCCAAACTCCACCTCTTCCTAAGTCACACCTGTCCATAGTTGATCTTCTGCTACTCCCCTGGCTGAGCTGCATGGTGTCCAGCCAAAGGGCTGTACCGTCAGAATTCAACCAGGGGCTACAAACTCAAATGCCTACAGGCACCAGGCAGGTAACAAACATGGGGTGCCGGGGGGTGGGAGACTCAGATGCCAAGCTGTACGTGCACAGCAACTGCTTGGTTATGCAGCCTCTTAAAACACAGTTCAGGCAAAACACAGTAGGCACCCCGTGTCCCTGGGCCACCTCCACACTGCCCGGTCTTGCCATCATTGCCAACTGCTCTTGCCAGGGCAGCATGAATGAATGTTCAGACACTACCCTGAAAAACAATGGTCATTCCCCTGCTTAAAGTGCCCGGGGCTTTTCCGCCACCCCAGGATGAAGGTCCAGCTCCTCTTCAGTATGGCTCTAGGAGTGCAGGCAAGGAGACCCTCAAGATTTGGATCTAACCTTTCTCCCCAACCCTCTGACTCAGATGCCACCCACTCCAGCACATGTATACCTTTCCTCCCCTATTCCTTTCTTCTGGGAGAATCTTTCACTTCCTGTTCATCTCCTTAGACACTCAGCACACTCAAGCTTAATCCGATCTCTAAAGCCAATCTGGATGCTACCCCAACCCCTCACCAAGAGGAAGCACGCCATCTCCTCCTGCCCCCATCTTCCACCTTCTTGGGAAGCCATGTCCACCTCCCCTAAACCCTTCTAGAGTTATACACCACAAAAGCAGCATGTTCTATACTCATCTCACTGCCAACCAGACCAAGCTGTAACTATACTTGACGCACTTCTTCTAACTTCCAGGGCAGCTGTTCTAAGTCCTAAATGTGCGGCCATTTTAGTAACTCGACTTAGTTTTTCAGTTGACAAGAAAGTGACGATTTAAGGAAAAAAGAAGACCAGCTATTAAATCACTTTTTTCTTTTTTTTTTTTTTAAACCACTACTTTTAAAAAAACTTCTAATGCTCACTTGAATCTTTATTACACATTTCAAAGTCAAAGCTAACAACAATAAAAAAAGGTTACAGCCCAAATCAAATCACTTTTAAAAAACAGTAGCGGTCTAAAGTTGCATAGGATGAAGATAAGAACGGAGAATGTAGAATGAGCACTCCATAGACTCATGTGAACCATAACAAAGAAGGAAAGAATCACCAGGAAAGAATGATGCAGGGTTTCCTGGGAGATGCGCCCACCTGCTCTGGCTTCAAATCTCCCTTTGCCTGGCCTGGCTTGACACCTCCACCCTCCAGCCCCAGCTTTGATCCCAAAGCCAAATGAAATCTGGTCTTTCTTTGGGCAAAGCATTTAGTGGCAAAGAGGAGACTGCCTGACCTGTTCTGATTCCCACTGGAAGCCACTGGAAGAGGAAGATAACCTCAAGGGCCATGGAGAGTTTGTTGTTGGTTTTGTACTCTTTTCCTTAATTTGAAGTAGTCTGCTCTGAACAGAAAACAAAGGGTGAATCGGTATGTTCTACGTCAGAGAGAGCAGGGGCAGCCTACTGACCAGATTTCACTATACATTGAAGACATATATGAATTGGTTGCCACTATTTACAAATCAAAAGACTTTTGATTAAAAATATAGGTTCTAATTTCTTTTGAAAAACTGGCAAATGTGCTAGCAATCAGCCTGTGATCCTACACGACAATGATTAGCCAGAATAAATCACAGTTGTCCCTTCAGAGAGTGCACACTGGCCCCAGTATGCCCCTGGTCCGGCAGGCCCCAGGGTGGCCCAGCTCTCAAATTTTTTGCTACAATCTTGTACCTCCTCTGAGCCAGAGCCTCATGACTGGGGTAGGGAAAGAACTGCACTTTTTACAAGGAGATAAATATCTCCAACAAAAAGCAAACAAGGCGTAAAGGGTACCCGGTACAAAAGGCAACACAAGCACCAATGGTCCCAATTTAGTTATCTGGCTCAGTCCAGGGACTTCTACCAGGCAAGTCCTGATAAGGGGTCACCTGCCACTGGGAGTCAACAACCTCAGAGGATCACTGCCCTCAGCAAGCCCACCTGGCCTTGAGAGTCTAACCTCATGCCCCGCTCCAAACTGCTCCTCTTCATCCTTCCTTTCCCAGGCCCAAATCTTGGCTCCTGAGAACTCCCATTTTCCGCCCAAATTTTCTTGTTCTAACCACCATGATGGAAAAAGTAGCCAAATGTCTCTATGCAGAGGAAGAATCAGGAAAAGGCGTGCATGGGGGAAAAGCCTAGTTTCCACAGATGGTGACACTGTAGCTGTCCTTTGTGGTCTGGTGTTCACTTGCCCTGTCTCGGAGCTTCTCTGGGATGATCCAACACAGCTTCACCATGAAACGCCATCAGTTGTGCTATTTTTACAATATGAAAGGGAGCTCTAGGTATGGAACTCCATTTAGAATAATTGCCTTGGAGGAAATAAAAGTTTAATTTAAAAAAAGGATAAAGATAGAAACCAACTTCCTTTTGGGAAACAAAGAAATTCAGCCTAAAATGCTACCTCTTCCACAGAGCTCTACCTCACGGAGGGGGGCATACTAGGTAAGAGACTGGTTCTGGAGTCACTAGACATGGGTTCAAAGGAAGTCAAAGTGTCTTTGTGACCTTGGATAAGTTTCAACCTCTGAGAGCCTCCGTTTCCTCTTCTTTGAGATGATATTGAAAGTAACGGCCCCCCAAATCTGCTGGGAGGGAGGACCAAATGATAGCAGCACAAAAGTGCTTTGGATACCGCCTGACACACGGCGAGGGCTCAACACCCACAGGCCATGATTATGACTGCACATACCCTGACCCAGGCACATCCTCTCCCCAGGCATACCTGACTGCGGGGAGAAGGGTGACAGTCAGAGGATGTCCGAACCAGAGGATTCACTCTAGCCAAGGGCAAGAATGGAGAGCCACCCAGGGCTCCTGGAGCAGGAAGGCGGCGTGGGGGCTGTCTCAAGATTGACGTCACTCCAGGTTTGTTCCTGGGCTACCTTGCTGTCATTTGAAACCTCCCCGCAGAGGGCACTGCAACCTGATGCCCCCAGCGGCACGCTGCTGTGAGCCATCCAAGCCCTCCCATATTGCCTCCCCGATGGGGAAGCTGAGAAGTTCACGGTTCTGGCTCATGAAGCGCTCTCAGAGGAAACGTGAACTCAGCCCTCCCCCAGGCGAGTGGGGAGGAGAGTGGCAGGTGCTTCAGCCTGCACCCAGCTGCCACGACTGCCATTTAGAGCGGCAGCGTCTTGTGTGCGGGAAAGGGGGACGGGAAGAGATGGCATCTCATGGCAGGGGGCCTGAGGCAACAGACAGGATCCCCCCCATGAAGATGTGGAGGGCTGAGGAAGTGAAAGCTCCAAGGCTCGGCTGCAAGGCTCTCGCCCAGCATGCTGGATGCTTACTCATTTTAATTGGCACCACTGCTGGTCTGGTGACACCCGACGCTCTGCCTTGGTGAGGCCCTGAAAAAGCCAGGGGAATGACTCCAGCGGAGCCAAATGCCCAAGCTCGGTGGGAGCCTGTGAAAATCTAATTGCTGCTTGGTCTCCAGCTGCTACACGGAGGCGTCCCAGCTTGGCAGGGGCCACCTGCTGTGCCAGGAGTGAGGCAAGAAGGATCTGAATCGTGGCCTGGGTTCAGGACCTCTGCTCATGGAGGATATTCCAAGGAAGCCCAGTTTCTGCCATGATAATAATGCCTATGACCGGCTGAGCACTGACCATGTGATCACACACATGCTCTCACTCAATCCCCCATGACGACTCTACTGGTAGATGCCATCATGGTCACATTCTACAGATGAGCAGGCTGAGGCTTAGAGCAGCTAAGCACTATACTCAGCTCAACCACTCCACTCACCATGGTATCACAAGTGACAAAAGCTGTGCAAGCCCCTTGGGCTTCTTCACTCTTTGGCAAGTATGCTGGGGCCATCTGGTCAGAGGCAGAGCCACGGCACAGACATCAGTGATGGAGCGCACACCTCGGGGTGTATTCTTCTCTGGTGCCAGCCGGCGAGGATCTCTCCCAACTCCTCCTGGCTACGGCGGCCCTGCGGCCAACAGCTCTGGCCCACCTTGACTGAGCCTGGTGCCAACTCGCCCTGGCTGCATGAAGACCCTGAAAAGGGGACCAGGGTGCCACATGGGGGCCCCTGCCAGGGGGCAGGGATCCTCCACATTGCTGAGGCTGCACTGTGTCCTAGGGAACTCCAGATGATGTGCCAGGCATCGGCGTGAAGGAGGGAGAGGTCAGCTCTCTGCGCTGTGACCTTGGGCCTTAGCTGCAGGACCTGTCACCTGAAAACCATAAACAACCCGGCACCAAAGCAGAGACGGAGCATCCTGCTCAGACCTCAGCCAGCCCCCGCGAGCCCAATCCTTCCTTCACTCAGAAAAGGCACATGGTCCAGCCCATCTTAGGCAGCAGCTGGCTTTAAAGGCAGGGAGAAGGCAGAGCTGAGTGTGACCAGAGTTACCCTGGGAAATTCCTTGGACTGCCCACTACATTCAGACTCGTCCTGATTCCCTGAATGTGGTGGGTGAGACCACCGCCTGTCACGCGGTGTGGACTGTGGTCTGTCTCTACACTGCTCTAACAGTGGCCCCGCTGACTGTTTTCAAGGTTATTCCTAGTTTCCAGGCTTTAAATACCTCTGCTCATACCTGCCTCCTTTATCAACCTGACACCATGCTGCCTGTGAGTCATTCATTAGCACTGCAGCAGCCGCACTTAGAGCCCAAAGATGTCTGAGTCTTGGATTAAATCCACAATTGCCCATATAAGGAGAAAAACCCAAACCCTCCAGTTTCCTGCAGGGATAAGGCCCTCACATAGGGTTAAAGGTCACAGGCAGCACAGCCAGATTCCTCAGTCCCTGCCTCTGAAGAATGGGTAGGAGTGTGATGGCCTGAACTGTGTCCCCCTCAAATTCATAGGCTGAAGTCCTAACCCCCAGTAGCTCAGAATGTGACTGTCTTTGGAGAAAGGGCCTTTAAAGGTGATTAAGGTAAAACAAGGTCATATGGATGAGCCCTAATCCAATAGGACTGGTGTCCTTATCTGAAGAGGACAGACACACAGACTCAGGGACAATCATGTGGGGACACAGCAAGAAGATAACCATTTGCGAGCCAAGGAAAGAGGCTTCGCAAGAAACCAAACCTGCTGACACCTTGGTCTTGGACTTCCAGCCTCCAGACCTGTGAGAAATTAGATTTCTGTCATTTAAGCCACCAGTCCATGGTGTTTTGTTAGGGGTGCCCAACCAGACATGGAGCGTGGAGGTACAGTGCTGAGAAGGCCTCAGCGGCTGCTGGGCCAAAACAAAGGCCAGGCTTGATGGTGACTCAGCCTTAGAAAGCTTGCTTCGTTCCCAGTAGCCCATGCTCATGTCGTTGCCAACTCCGCGGATGGCCTGCATCTGCATTCTGCCAACTCCTTAGTACTTCAAAGGTTTACAGCAACCAAAGACAAAGGTCAGTGATGGCAGCCACCAGGACACTCAGCTGTGCTGAGAGCAATGGGACTCAAAGCAATGGTGAGGAGAGGCGGCAGGAGGGAGGCTGCCCACCTCTAACTCGGGCCCTTACACTGCCACTCCCATGGGCTGCGAGGCCCCAGAAATCCAAGTACGTTGATTCTGACCACTATTTGTTGAGTACCTGCATATTGTGGGCACTGAGCTATGTGATACAAAGACAAATGGATGGGCCAGGCATGGTGGCTCATGCCTGTAATCCCAGCGCTTCAGGAGGCCAAGGCGGATAGATCACTCGAGGTCAGGAATTTGAGATCAGCCTGGCCAACATGGTGAAAGAATGTGACTGTGTTTGGAGAAAGGGCCTTTAAAGGTGACTAAGATAAAACAAGGTCATATGGATGAGCTCTAATCCAATAGGACTGGTGTCTTTATCAGAAGAGGACAGACACACAGACTCAGGGACAATCACGTGGGGACACAGCAAAAAGGTAACCATTTGGGAGCCAAGGAAAGAGGCTCTACTGAAAATACAAAAAATTAGCTGGGCGTGGTGACACATGCCTGTAGTCTCAGCTGCTGAGGTGGGAGGATCACTTGAACCTGGGAGGTGGAGGTTGCAGTGAACTGAGATGGTGCCACTGCACTCCAGCCTGGGTGACAGAGTGATACTCCACCTCAAAAAAAAAAAAAAAAAAAAAAAGATGAATGGATCTCAGGGCCTAGTAGGTGATCAGATGGTTAAATGTGTAATTACCCCACTATAATCTACTTGTAATAATGGAAGCCTAATCAAGATACCGAAGCAGAAAAGGGTAGTGAGTAATTAGCTCTGTCAGGAAGGGGAAGTTCAGTGAAGGCTTCAAAGAGATGGTGTTATCAGCAGGATTTTCAAGACAGAACTGGAGGCCACGAGCAAACAAGAGGCTGAGAAAGGGATTCTAGACTGACTTGCCAGCAAGGTGGAAAGGTTTAAGAATGCACAGGGGATTCACCGAACTAAATGCAGTATGATGCTGTGGACTGAGGCAGGAAATGGGACTGGTCAAGCAAGAAGGCACTAGAACACGCAAGGCTTCGTTGCCAGCTGAAGAGCTTGCCCTCCCCAACCCCCATAGAGGGATGGGAAAGTCCCAGGAAGCTTTAAAACAAGGCAACAACCAGGTTGGGCTTGTGTTTTAGATGGACTGCTCAGGGCCGGGTGTGGTGGCTCACGCCTATAATCCTAGCACTTTGGGAGGCCGAGGCAGGTGGATCACTTGAGGCCAACAGTTCGAGACCAGCCTGGCCAACATGGTAAAACCCCCGTCTCCACTAAAAATACAAAAAAATTAGCTGGGTGTAGTGGCTCACGCCTGTAATCCCAGCTACTTGGGAGGCTGAGGCAGGAGAATTGCTTGAACACGGGAGGCGGAGGTTGCAATGAGCCGAGATTGTGCCACTGCACTCTAGCCTGGGTAGCAGAACGAGACTGTCTCAAAAAAAAGGACTGAAGGACTGCTCCTCAGACAGCAGGGACAGGGGGACGCTGGGGTAGAAGGTCAAGGCCAAAATCCAAGCATGAAATATCAAAGGCCTACTATGCTAAGGCAGAGCAGGCCTCCTCTGAAAACTCTTGTTTACTTGCACAGGTCCTACCCTTCTTCCCAGCCAGGCTTGGTGAATTACACCCACAAGTCATTGAGGTTTTAAAAAATGACCCAGTAAGAAGCTGAGAGAAGAAACTAAGATACTAATGTGCTGTACAGGAAAAACAATGTCCCTGGACCCCAGCAGTTAGTTATACATTTCTTTATTCTTGAGAAACAAACCAAAGCAAGCCACTGACTTTGCCAAGATAAAAGCAGCCTTGCTAGTGGCCTAGCCAAGGGGAGTCTTATTGTGTCTCTGGCCTATTTCCTATTCATCAACATTCAAAGCCTGATCTTGACACAGGACTGGGTTGCTCTCTTGCCCCTTTCATCCCACAGGAAAGCTGGACACCCCACCATCAGGTCAGGCACGTTGGAGGGACTTAAAAGTGACACTCACGATGACAGCCAGGATTCCCATTTAGAATCTTAAGCCTGGCTATTTCCAGACACAAGCCACACCCTTAGTAGGCCAACCACCCTCCCTCACTAGGCAGCATTCCTCTCTAAAGCTGAAACTGAGCCACAATCACTTTCATCCCTTTCCCCAAAGCGCCTTCCACTGTGGTGTGGGAGGAAAGACAGGCTTTACTGCTTACTAGCTGTGTGACCTTGGACAAGTCACTTAACCTCTCTGAGCCTGTCTCCTCCTCTGTAAAATACAGATAATAATAACAACCCTATATTGAGGTTATATGAGGAGATAATATAAATGCTAAAGGTCTGTACTCACCTTTTATTTTTTTGAGACAGGGTCTTGCTCTGTTGCCCAGGCTGGAGTGCAGTGGTGCAGTCATAGCCCACTGCAACCTTCCTGGGCTCAAGCAATCCTCCCACCTCAGCCTCCTGAGTAGCTGGGACTACAGGCATGCACCACCATACCCAGCTAAGTTTTTAATTTTTTTGTACAGCCGAGGTCTCGCTATGTTGCCCAGGTTGGTCTTGAACTCAAAGTCACTGGGCTCAAGTGATCTTCCTGCCTTGGCCTCCCAAAGTGCTGTGATTAAAGGTGGGGGCCACCACGCCTGGCCTGTGCTCACATTTATTAAGGGTGATGAAGAAAAAAGGAGAGGGAGGAGCAGCTGAAGAAGTAAAAGAAGGAAGAGGAGAAGGGGAAGGAATTCTGGAGTCAGATGATGCTGGGTTCAAATCTCTGCTCAACCATTTCCTGGCTGTGTGACTTCAGACAAGTTACTTGACCTCTCTGACCCATAGTTTCCTCCTCTGTAAATAGGGATAATACTGCCTAGCCTTGCAAAGGGATTTCAGAAAGAAAACAGATAGTCTGAAATCAGAGCCACTGCTTTCTCATCCCTGAGTGGCACTTGGGGAAAAATCAAGTTTATGTTCGAATCCTTCTGGGCAATCCAGCTCTGCCACCCTAGATGAGGGTGAACACAGTGAAGCAAAGAGAGGCCTGTTTCTAGGCAGCCAGGGCTCCCCACCACACTCACATCCCTGGAAACACTGCTCTCCTTCATCAGTTCCCAGGGGAGGCCACCAAACTCCCTGCAACTCAACTGAATTCTCCCTGGACAAATGAGACGGGAGAGCCTGGCTCGTCTCTCCTTGGCCCCAAACATCTCTGCCCTGACTGGGGAGCACTGGGAGACGGTGGAACATCCATTTGCTAAGCAGACCCTAAAGCACTGCTTCCTGATGTCTTAGGACCCTCCAGAAAAGGCGAGTTATTTTAAGCCTCTCCTGAGCCCAAGGCCTGAGCAACTGAAACAAATGGCTTCGGGATGAGAACCAGAAAGGTTTTCAAGGCCTCTCATTCTGCCAGAAACACACTTAAAATTTAAAAAATTTAAAGCTCCTTGCCGCACTTGGGTTCACTTTGTGCTAGGCTTTGGTTCAGAGGAAGACAAAGCAAAACCCCAAGCCCTCAAATCAATGGATCATGACAAAACACTCGCCCTCTTCCCCGCTGTCCTGGGCAAGAAGGGACTGAGATGGAGCAAAGAGACGCGGGCAGTGCTGCTTTCCTGCCAACGGTTTCAGATGGGGACAGACGGAGGCTGGTGTTGAAATCTGTTTCTTTTTTTAACAAGGAATGGGGCAGGGAAGGCAGCCAAAGTAGGTTGGCCTGAGGTCCCCACCAAGCATCCACAGGCAGGCCAAGGTACCTCAGGTGCAAGGCAGGCAGTGGAGAAGGTAGCGAGGGCACCAAGAGGGGCAGCTAGGCCCCCAGAAACACTGCCAAGCTGGGGGTGTGGAAGGAGAAACACACAGCCTCCCAGGAGTAGTTTCTGTATCAGAACTTGGGGCTCAAATGTGGGGCCAGGCAACAAGTTACACACCCCTACTATCAGACCACAAAGCGCTTATCACCTCTCAGCCTCTGAAACAGAAAAGCTGGGGTCCCCCCAGCCCACCCCACCATCTTACTTTTGCTAGGTAGCTCTTCTTGGCCCAGGCCGTTGGAGGGAGCCAGTGGGGCACTGCCACCCTCATCCAAGGTCAGGATGAGCGGCACGTCGTCATCCAAACTCACAGCCATGTTCTCTTCTCCTGTGGCCCTCAGGATATGATATCCAGGGCTTGAAATAGTCTCTGGTTTGAGCTCCCTTTCAAAGCCACTGGGCCAGGGGTGCTGCTCAGAAACTCCTCCATTAGAGGCATCTTCTAGGGTTTGGGAATTAAAAAAATAAAAGATAATTATTAAAATACAGCCATGACTGATGAATCTATTCTGAAATTAGATAGTGGTGATGGTTGCACAACCTCGTGAATAAAAACCACTCAAGTATACTCTTTAAAATGGTGAACTAGGGCCAGGCGCGGTGGCTCACACCTATAATCCCAGCACTTTGGGAGGCCAAGGTGGGTGGGTCACTTGAGCCAGGAGTTCAAGACCAGCCTGGCCAACATAGCAAAACCCCATCTCTACTAAAAATACAGAAAATTAGCTGGGCTTGGTGGTAGGTGCCTGTAATCCCAGGTACTCGGGTAACTGAGGCATGAGAATTGCTTAAACCCAGGAGGTGGAAGCTGCAGTGAGCAGAGATCATGCCACTGCACTCCAGCTTAAGTGACAGAGACCTTGTCTCAAAATAAATAATAAAATGGTAAATTATATCTTAATTTAAAAAATAATAAAATGGTAAATTAAAACTCAATTTTTAAAAAAATTGGCCGGTGGGGTGGCTCACATCTGTAACCCCAGCATTTTGGAAGGCTGTGGTGGGAAGATCAATTAAGGCCAGGAATTTGAGATCAGCCTGGGCAATATAGCAAGACCTTGTCTCTATAAAAAATTAAAAAAAAAAAAAGCTGGTTGGGTAAGCATACACACAGAAAAAAATAAAATAAATATTTAACATACAAAAATAAATAAATAAATAAAATTAGCTGGGCAGGTGGCACACCTGTAGTCCCAGCTACTCAGAAGGCTCACTTGAGCCCAGGAGTTCAAGGCTACAGTGAGCTATGACTGCACCACTGCACTCTGGCTTGGGCAACAGAGTGAAATCCTGTCTCTTAAAAAATAAAAGAATTAGGCCGGGCACAGTGGCTGACACCTGTAATCCCAGCACTTTGGGAGGCCGAGGCGGGCGGATCCTGAGGTCAGGAGTTTGAGAGCAGCCTGGCCAACATGGTGAAAACCCATCTCTACCAAAAATTCAAAAAATTAGCTGGGCGGGGTGGCACGTGCCGGTAATCCCAGCTACTCAAGAAGCTGAGGCAGGAGAATCGCTTGAACCCGGAAGGCAGAGGTTGCAGTGAACCGAGATAGAGCCATCCAGCCTGGGTGACAGGGCGAGACTCTGTCTCAAAAAAATAAAATAAAGATAAATAAATAAATAAAAACAGAATAAAAGCATTATTACAGTATAATAGCATTAAAATACGGAGGGAGGGAACCCTGCAAGAACAAATACTGAAAAGTTAAGGGTAATTCTGTCTGGAGAGTGACATTAGGGCCAATATGTCCTACCTCCACTTCTCTTTACATTTATTTGTAAGTTTTGTAAAGACTTCAAAGAAAAAAATAGGCTGGGCACAGTGGCTCCCACCTGTAATCTCAGCGCTTTGGGAGGTCAAGGTGGGAGAACTGCTTGAGCCTAGCAGTTCAAGACCAGCCTGGGCAATGTAGCAAGACTCCATCTCTACAAAATAAAAAATTTTAAATTAGCTGGGTATGATGGCATATGCCTGTAGGCCTAGCTGCTTGGGAGGCTGAGGTGACGGAAACACTTGATCCCAGGAGTTGGAGGTTATAGTGAGCTATGATCACACCACTGCAGTCCAGCCTGGACAACAGAGTGAGACCCTGTCTCTAAAAAATAAAGTAAAATAAAAGGCTGGGCACGGTGGCTTACAACTGTAATCCCAGCACTTTGGGAGGCAGAGACGGGTGGATCACTTGAGCTCAGGAGTTCAAGACCAGCCTGGCCAAAATGAAGAAACCCCGCCTCTATTAAAGATACAAAAATTAGCTGGGTGTGGTGGCTTGCGCCTGTAATCCCAGCTACTCTGTAGGCTGAGGCAGGAGAATCACTTGAACCCAGGAGGCAGAGGTTGCAGTGAGCCGAGATGGTGCACTGCACTGCAGCCTGGGCGACAGAGCCAGATTCCACCTCAAATAAATAAATAAATTAATTTAATTAAATTAAATGACAAAAAAATACAACCATTAAAATAATAGTTAATATGCGGCCAGGCGCGGTGGCTCATGCCTGTAATCCCAGCACTTTGGGAGGCCGAGGCGGGCGGATCACGAGGTCAGGAGATCAAGACCATCCTGGCTAACATGGTGAAACCCCGTCTCTACTAAAAATACAAAAAATTAGCCGGGCGTGGTGGCAGACGCCTGTAGTCCCAGCTGCTCAGGAGGTTGAGGCAGGAGAAAGGCGTGAACCCGGGAGGCGGAGCTTGCAGTGAGCCGAGATTGCACCACTGCACTCCAGCCTGGGCGACAGAGCGAGACTCGTCTCAAAATAGTAATAATAATAATAGTTAATACTCAATGAGTGCGTACTATGTATGAGGGACCCTACTAGCACTTCATAAGTAAAAGTTAACTGAAAATTCTTAATAGCCCCATGAGATAGGCAGGCTTATTATCCCCCCATTACAGGATGGGTGTGGTGGGTATTTCAGGCACAGACAGATTACGTATCCTGCCCAAGGACCCACAGCTAAATAAAAGCCAAGCTTTCAGCTCTACGGTGTGACTCCAAACCTGTATTCCCAGCCATTACACTATAATTCCTCAAAGTCTGGGCCATGTATTTAGGCAGCACCTAGCTTCAATCATCAATATATACTTGCTCATATATACAGATTTAAAATACATCTTTCACTTCAGCTTTACCATGCAGCCTCTCAGAACAGTTAGAAACATACTTCCAAAATGTATGATTTTTATATCATTTTTATATAGGAGTTGTTCTCTTAGATTTAGGTGTCCGAGGAAGGGGAAAAGAGTATTTTTTTTTAACTGGTGAGTATTTTTTAATACAGTAAAAGTGCTCATCCTTAACTCCCAATTTAAAACACTCAGAGCAGCCGGGAGTGGTGGCTCATGCCTGTAATCCCAACATTTTGAGAGGCCGAGGCAGGTGGATCGCTTGAGGTCAGGAGTTTGAGACCAGCCTGGCCAACATGGCGAAACCTGGTCTCTACTAAAAATACAAAAATTAGCCAGGTGTGGTGGTGCATGCCTGTAATCCCAGCTACTGGGGAGCCTGAAGCAGGAGAATCACTTGAACCCAGGAGGCAGAGGTTGCAGTGAACTGAGATCACGCCACTACACTCCAGCCTGGGCGACAGAGCGAGACTCCATCTCAAAAAATAAATAAACTAAAAATTTAAAAATAACTAAATAAGTAAAACACTCCGAGCTAGCCTGTTACAGCTCCTATTTATGCACATTCCCGTTTCCGCTGAGAAGAACCAAAAAAAAAAAAAAAAAGACTCAGCAGATCTGACTGCAGACCTTTGAACTTGCAAACAGCAGCAGGTTCCTTCCTCAAGCTGTGGGCTCTGGGCTCAACCCACTTTGCCTCCCAACTGACCTAGTCAATGGCAGCTGAGCAACTGACTTCTTCCTCGAATCATTGGAACAACTCCAAGCAAATCCTTGTGCATCCACAGGGAACAGTACAACGTTTTGAAACAAGGCAGCGAAAGTAAACATCATTCTACTTGCTGCTAAGCCCGTAGCTCTCTGCCCAGCACACTTCCTGTGAGTTTTTTTTTCTTAAGTTTCCTCCAGATCTGGGGATTTATTTTGCTTTTAAATCTCAGCAGTGGAAAGGCAGAAGAGGAAATCCCAGATGAGACACTACTATTTGGCAGTCTTAAGAATTATGGTTGTATTGTCGTTTTGGTTTAACTTTTTACCACAGATATTTTCAAACATTCTCAAAAGTGCAGAGAATATATACGTGAACTTCCTTGTATCCATTACTCAGCTTTGACAATTATCTCCCATGTTTACTTTGAAGGCAGGAGAATTTATTAACTCACAGAGAAGAGGTTTCTTAATGTTACCATTATCATAATGGCTAGTGGTTTCTATGTTTTAACTCACGGCTGTCCAACCTTTTGGCTTCCCTGGGCCACGCTGGAAGAACTATCTTGGGCCACACATAAAATACACTACCATTAATGATGAGCTAAAAAAAAAGAGGCAGGGGGGTTGTTCATGCATAATTTTCATGATATCTGCCACCATAGATTAAAGTCCTCGCATTCAAATGCTTCAACACGGTTGTTTAACTGTTTAATATATGACTGCTTGCCTGCCTGTACTGCCTTTGCCCACTGGCTTTCAACTGGGGTGATTTTTGCCCCCATGGGGACATCGGCAATGTCTGGAGACATCTTGACTGTCACAACTTGGGAGTGGGGGGATTGCTGGTGGGTGGAGTCCAGGTATGCCACTGAACTTGCTTCAATGCACAGGTGAGACCTCCCGAAACAGAATTATGTGGCTCAAAATGTCAACTGAGCTGCTGTTGAAAAATCCTATCTTAGCTAATATCCCCACTTTAGGAATGAGGAAATTGAAGCTTGGAGTGGTTAACTTGCCTTTTATAAGTTTCAACCCAGGCAGTCTGAATCAGGGACCCTGCCTGCTTAACCATTACCCTATATACACCTACGACTAGAACCAGTCCCCTGATTTGAATTCAAACACGTCATTTTTCCAGACAGACAAAAATGAGGCCCAGAGAGGGGAAGAGACTTGCCCAAGGTCACACAGTGGAGGAGTAGGGCTAGAACCCGGGACTCCTGCGTCCTGGTCCAGTGTTCCCTCCGCGGGCTTTGCTTCTGCCTCTACAGAGGACCCAACTGGCCAGCGCTGGGGAAAGGGCCTAGGGGAAGAGGTTCAGCTACCATCCCGCTGTCCGCTGGGGCAGCCTGACCCAGGCACAAGACTCCTGTGGGGTCACCTAAGGGCGCCAGGGAGAAGAGCGAGGGAGGGAGGAAGAAGGAGGCAGGACAGCTGGCTCCAGCTCCACGTGCTCCCAGCCCCTGGCTGGGAGCCCACGTGAGGGTCGCCCTAAGAAGTCGGGGGCGAGGAGAGAGGGTGCAAAGCCCCGGCCCGGGCTGGACGGAGAGAAGCGCGGTGGAGACTTCCCTGCGCCCCCTCTGGGCCCGTACGGCCCACCTCCCACACCAGAGTGCTGCGCCGCAACCCCTTACTCCGCGTCCTCTGACCCCTGATCCCTGCCCTCTCCCTCGGGCCAAGCCGTCGCATCCCTCGGATTCTTACACGCGCCGCCCCAGCAACCCGGACCGCGCGCCGGGGTCCGCACCGCGCAGCCTAGCCCGCCGGCGCCGCCGCCAAAACCCCGAGCCCGAAGCTGTTGCAGCCGCCGCAGCCGCCGAAGCCGCCGCCACTTCAGCCACTGCCACCAGGGCAGCTGCGCCAGCTCTCCTATCCACCGCCTACCGTCCTCTCAACCCCGCTGGCCCCGCCCCATTTCCCCTTCACAGCGTCCTACTGGCTAACTGGGCTACCGTGATGAACTCTGATTGGCCAACTATCACGTCCTTCCGCAGGTCTCGCCCGCCGCCGATGCGGTACTCCCTGCCCGCCTCCTTAAGAAGGGGCGGGACGAAGAATCCACGCCCCTTACTCCTCCCTTGTTCCCCGCCTTACTCGTTGAGTCCAACCCAGAGGGAGTCCCAAGTCTTTCCATTGGTGAAAGGTCAAAATGGCGGTGCTTCTGATTGGTCAGACTTCAGGAGGTGGGGACAACTGAGCGGAACAATAAATTGAATGGTGAAAAGAAAGGTCAGTCAGACACCGAGTCTCGCCTTCTGAGATTGGCGGGTAACCTAGCAACGCAGGGACCGCGGCGGTAACTGTGGCTAGGGAAACCTGGAGCGGTCAGAGCAGGTGAGTAGCCAGTTGGGAAAGGGTCGCGGATCGGGGGAGATGTGGAATAGGGTTCAGCCCTCTGTCCTTTGGCTCCCTGAGGAATTAGAAGCCCCCGCTGCGATCTCGTCTCAGCTTCAGGACCCTGTCCCTCAGCTCCTGCCTTAGTCTGGACCTTTCGCTCCACAACCTGCAGGGAGCCGGCCTCCATTCTGCCCTTCTACCTGCCCACTTCATGGCTCCACTCCCTCATCCCTAAAACGAGGAGGACAACAGTCAAGCAGAGTCATATCGTAGTTAACTTATTTCAAGTCAAACATGGGAGCTGTGGGTGGGAGGGGAGTTTATAAGTCCCCTCCCATTTCACCCAACGGCCATACGTTCCTCGGTGAGCAGGCAATCTCACTTCAGTGTTTAAATTAGGTAGTTTTGTTTGTTTGTTTTGTTGTTGTTGTTGTTGTTTTTGCCGAGCATGGTGGCTCACGCCTGTAATCCCAGCACTTTGGGAGGCCGAGGCGGGCAGATCACTTGAGGTCAGGAGTTCTAGGCCAGCCTAGCCAGTATGGTGAAACCCCATCTCTACTGAAAATACAAAAATTAGCTGAGCATGGAGGCGCACCTGTAATCCCAACTACTCGGGAGGCTAAGGCACGAGAATCACTTGAACCCGGGAGACTTAGGTTGCAGTAAGCCAAGATAGCGCCATTGCACTCCAGCCCGGGCAACAGAGCAAGACTCTGTCTCAAATAAATAAATAAATTAGGTAATTTTTATTACACCACTTTTGCCTTTATCCTAACTTTGGAATTTAACTCCCATCTCCATCCTTAAGATGTGATCTCATTGTACCTACTGAAGACAGAGAGTTTCTTGTGATGATTAAATGAGGCTAAGGGCCGGGCGCGGTGGCTCAGCCTGTAATCCCAGCACTTTGGGAGGCCGAGGCCAGCAGATCACCTGGGCCAGCAGATCACCTGAGGCCAGGAGTTTGCGACTAGCCTGGCCAACATGGTGAAACCCTGTCTCTACTAAAAATACAAAAATTAGCCGGGCCTGGTGGCGTGTGCCTGTGATCCCAGCTACTCAGGAGGCTGAGCGGGAGAATTTCTTGAACCCGGGTGGTGGAGGTTGCAGCGAGCCGAGATCGTGCCACTGCACTCCAGTCTGGGTGATAGAGCGAGACTCCAGCTCAAAAAATAAATAAATAAATAAATAAATAAATAAGGCTGAGGTGGGAGAATTGCTTGATCGCAAGAGGCGGAGGTTGCGGTGAGCCATGATTGCACTACTGCACTCCAGCCTGGGCGACAGAGCGAAAAACCCTGTCTCAAAAAAATATATAAAAAAAAAACTTTGAGGTTCAAAAGATATTTTCATAAGAAAATGAAAAGATCAGCCACAGACACAGACATGGAGGAAATATTTGCAAATCATGTGTCATAAAAGAGTTGTATATAGAATATAAAAATAACTCTTATAACTCAATAAGAGGACAACTCAATTTTTTTAATGGGCAAAAGAGTTGAGTAGACATTTAAAAATCAAAAAGACAATACCAAGTATCATCATGTAGATAAATAAACAAACTGTAGCTTTCATATGTTGCCGGTAGGTACAGCAGAATACCAATTGGTACCACCAATCTGAAATATAGTTGGCAGTTTCTTAAAAAGTTAAACATAGGCCAGGCACAGTGGCTCGTGCCTGTAATCCCAGCACTGTAGGAGGCACAGGCAGGTGGATCACCTGAGGTCAGGAGTTCGAGACCAGCCTGGCCAACATAGCAAAACCCCGTCTCTACTAAAAATACAAAAATTAGCAGGGCATGCTGGCGGGTCCCTGTAATCCCAGCCATTTGGGAGGCTGAGGCAGGAGAATCACCTGAACCCAGGAGGCGGAGGTTGCAGTGAGCCGAGATCGTGCCACTGCACTCCAGTCTATGTGACAGAGTGAGACCCTGTCTCAAAAATAAATAAATAAAACAAAAAATAAACTTACACATAACCTAGCAATTCCACTCTTAGGAAGTTACCCCTCCCAAGTGAAAACATAAGTCCACACAAAGACTTAAATATAAATGTTCTTAGCAACATCACCCTTAACAGCCCAAAACTGGAAACAACCCAAATGTCATCAACAGGTGAATAAATAAATAACTCATGATATTTCCTTAGAATGGAATACTATTCAGCAATAAAATACTATTCAGGAATGAAATACTAATAATTGCTACAACCTGGATGAACCTCAAAAACATGTTAAGTTGAGGGTTTTTGGCCCAGTGGCTCACGCCTGTAATCCCAGCAATTTGGGAGGCCAAGGCAGGAGGATCCTAGTTTGAGCCTAGGAGTTTGAGCCTAGGAGCCTGGTAACAAAGTGAGACCCTATCTCTACAAAAAATACAAAAATTAGCCAGGCATGGTGGTATGCACCTGTAGTCCCAACTATTCAGAAGGCTGAGGTGGGAGGATCACCTGAGCCTGGGGAGGTCAAGGCTACAGTAATCCATGGTTGCACTGCTGCACTCTAGCCTGCGTGACAGAGTAAGACCCTGTCTATTAAAAAAAAAAGGCAGCCGGGCACGGTGGCTCACGCCTGTAAATCCCAGCACTTTGGGAGGCCAAGGCAGGCAGATCACCTGAGGTAGGGAATTTGAGACCAGCCTGACCAACATGGAGAAACCCCGTCTCTACTAAAAATACAAAAAAAAAAAATTAGCTGCGCGTGGTGGCGCATGCCTGTAATCCCAGCTACTTGGGAGGCTGAGGCAGGAGAATCGCTTGAACCCAGGAGGCAGAGGTTGCAGTGAGCCGAGATCACGCCATGGCACTCCAGCCTGGGAAACGAGAGCAAAACTCCATCTCAAAAAAAAAAAAAAAAGGTCAGGGTTTTTCAACCTCAGCTCTATTGATGTTTTGGGTGAGAAAATTCTTTGTTGTGGGGAACTATCCTGCCAATTGTAGGATATTTAGCAATATTACGAGCCTCTACCTACAAGATGCCAGTAGTAGCCTCTCTCAGTTGTGACAAGCAAATGCATCTCCCGATTATTGCCAAATGTCTTCTGGAGGGCAAAGTTGCCCCAGGTTGAAAACCACTGTGCTAAGCAAAAAGTCAGATGCAAACAATTACATACTGCATGATCCCATTTATATGAACTATCCAGGAAAGTTACATATGAGTGGAGGCCAGGGGCAGTGGCTCACGCTTGCAATTCCAGCACTTTGGGAGGCCAAGGAAGGTGGATTACTTGAGCCCGGGAGTTCAAGACCAGCCTGGGCAACATGCTGAAACCCTGTCTCTCCTAAAAACGT